>NW_021160000.1:300000-454963 GCF_000001405.40 Homo sapiens | reverse complement strand
GAATTCTCTTAGCTTATTTTGTCACGTGGTTAACTCCTTATGTCCTTTCATGACTCACATGTCAAGACTTCAGGAAACCTTCTCTAACTCCCAGGCTGGGCTGAGTGACCCTTTTCTGGGTAAATAATGGACTCGAATCATACTCTTCATAGCACTTACCATACTAATTTGAAGTCTGAAGTATTCCATTGTGTGCCACACTTTACGTAGGCAAAGGAACCATGTGCTAGTCTCATTCTGGCCTCAGGACTTCAGCCCGGGCGACAGTGGGAGACTGAGTGTCAAAAAAAAAATTGCCAATGATTGAAGCCTAATACTGAAGATTCTGATTTATTAATAATTAGTCTGTTGCTGGGTGTTAATTGAGCTCCCCAAGTAATTACTCATGTGGGACTTCAAACCAATAATTTAGAACCTTGTGACTCAAAATCTGTGCAAAAATAAGCAGCATCAGTATCACCTGGGAGCAGCTTCAGGTCTCACTTTAGATTTACTCTGAATCGAAATATTATATTTTTATTAAAAAATTAAGAACAGATGACAAGCTTCAACTACATCTAAATTCTTTAGATTTACTTTAAAAGAATCAGCATTTTGACACAATACCAAAGTGAACTAAATTCGCTTTTTTTTTTTTTTTTTTTTGAGACAGAGTCTTGCTCTGTTGCCCAGGCTGGAGCAAAGTGGTGCAATCTCGGCTCACTGCAACTTCCACCTCTCCAGTTCAAGCGATTATCTTGCCACGGCCTCCAAAGTAACTGGGATTACAGCACATGCCATCATGCCCGGATAATTTTGGTATTTTTAGTAGAGACAGGGTTTCACAATGTTGGGTGAGCTGGTCTGGAACTCCTGACCTCAAGTGATCTGTCCGCCTCGGCCTTCCAAAGTGCTGAGATTATAGACATGGGCCACCATGCCCAGCCTAAATTTGCTTTAATTTGGAGAAGTGCTGGTCTAGAAAACACAAATTCCAAGGAGACAGAGGTTCTTAAGTTGATTTCTCAAGTACAAGTCCTTCAAATGCATTCTCCAAGATTAATTTTTTTTTTTTACTTTTTAAATTGACAAAAATTATACATATTCATGGCTATACAGGGATGTTTCAGTACATGTAGATGGTGATCAGATCAGGGTAATTAGCATATCTATCGTCTCAAACATTTATTATTTCTTTGTGTTGGGAACATTCAAACTACTCCTAGGTATTTTAAACTACATAATATAGTATTGTTAACTATAGTCATCTACAGTACTATAGAACACTAGAACTTATTACTTCTACCTAGCTGTAATTTTGTATCCATTAACAAATCTCTTACTATTCCTCCTTTCTCCCTACCCTTTTCAGCCTGCAGTATCCTCTGTTCTACTTTTTACTTCTATGAGATCAACTATTTTTTAGCTTCTGCGTGAGTGAGAACATGTGGTGTTGAAATTTCTATTCCTGGCTTATTTTGCTTAACATAATATCCTCCAGATCCATCCATGTTGCTGAGAATGACAGGATTTTATTTATTCTTTTTTATGGCTAAATAGCATTCCTTGGTGTATATATACCATATTTTAAAAATCCATTCATCTGTTGTTGGAAACCTAGGTTGATTCCATATCTTGGCTATTGTGAACACTGTTGCAATAAACATGGGGATGCAGATGTCTCTGCAATATAATGCTTTTCTTTCCTTTGGATAAATTCCCAGTAGTGGGATTGCTTGAGGGGTTTCAATAAAGTTCTCCATACTGGCTGCACTAATTTACATTCCTACCAACAGTTCATAAGAGTTCCTTTTTCTCCGGTTACCCAGGAGGCTGAGGGAGGAGAACTATTTGAACCCTAGAAGCAGAGGGAGCCAGATTACACCACCACTGCACTCCAGCCTGGACGGAGAGTGAGATTCTGTCAAAAAAAGGTCCCTTTTCTTCACGTCGTTGTCAGCATTTGTTATTTTTGTCTCTTCTATTATAGCCATCCTAACTGGAGTAAGATGATGCCTCACTGTGGCTTTGATTAGCATTTCCTTGCTGATTAGTGGTGTTGAACATTTTTACATATATTTGTTGGTAATTTGTATGTCTTCTTTTGAGAAATGTCTGTTCAGAGCATTTGTTTATATTTAATTAGATTGTTGTGCTTCTTTGCTGTTGATATGTTTGAATTCCTTGTATATTCTTGATATTAATTTCCTGCCAGATGAGTTTATATTTTCTCCCATTCTGTAGGTTGTGTTTTCACTCACTTTATTATTTCCTTTGCTGTGCAGAAGATTTTTAGCTTGATGTGATCCCATTTGTTTATTTTTTCTTTTGTTGCCTGTGCTTTTGATGCCTTATTCATAAAATATTTTCCCAGAGCAATGTCCTGAAGGATCTTCCCTATGTTCTCTTCTAGTAGCTTTACCATTTTGGGTCTTATATTTGGGTATTTGAGATACTTTGAGTTGATTTTTGTATAGGGTGAGAGGCAGAGGTTTAGTTTCATTCTTCGGCATATGGATATCCAGTTTTTCCAGCACCATTTATTGAAGAGACTATCCTTTCCCCAATGACTGTTCTTGGCATCTTTGTAAAAAATCCGTTGGCTGAGATATGTGGATTTTCTGGGTTCTTTATTCTATTCCATAGGTCTATGTGTCTGTTTTTATGCCAATACCATGATGTTTTGGGTTACTACAGTTTTGTAGTATATTCTGAGGTCTGGTAGCATGATACATCCAGCTTTGTTCTTTTTGCTTAGGATGGCTTTGGTTATTCAGAATATTTTTTGATTCCATAAAATCTCTTTGGATTTTTTTTTTAATTTTGTGAGGAATGTTCATAGGTATTTTGATAGAGATTGCATTGAATCTGTAGGTTACGTTTGAGTAGTACTGTCACTTTAACAACATTCATATTTCTGATCCATGAGTGTGAATGTCTTCTCATTTGTTTGTATCCTCTTCAATTTCTTTCATTAGTGTTTTGTAGTTTTCATTTTACCTCCTTGGTTACATTTATGTCTGGGTTTTTTTTGGTAACTATTGTAAATGGGTTTGCCTTCTTAATTTCTTTTTCAGCGAGTTTGTTGTTCATATATATAAATGCAACCAATCTTTGTGTATTAGTTTTGTGTCTTGCAACTTCACTGAATTTGTTTGTTCTAAAAGTTTTCTGGTAGAGTCTTCAGGTTTTCCTATATATAAGATCATGTCATCTGCCAATAGGAACAATTTGATGTCCTCCTTTCCGATTCGAATGCCCTTTATTTCTTTCTCTTGTCTAATTACCCTTGATAGGACTTCACATTTATATACTTTGAATATTTAAAATGTTTACATAAATGTCAGAATCAACTTTCATTTTTCATAGAAAAAGAAGACCCTACTTGTTTTGTAGTTTTAATATTAATCAATTATTTTTATCTGAGACAAATTATTTAACAAATTAATCCGTCTATTAAAATATTTCACCACAAATAAATTCCATAAGGAAAATATCTACAACTGTTTTTATGAAAGAAAAAAAGGCTTCTCTACAGTTGCTTAGGCCTGGTGCCATGGCACACACCTATAAATCCCAGCCCTGTGGGAGGCCATGTCAAGAGGATCCTTTGAGCCCAGGAGTTTGAGACCAGCGTGGACAACAAAGTGAGACCTCATCTCTACAAAAAATAAAAAAGAGATTAGCTGGCCATGGTGGTGTGTGCCTGTGGTCCTAGCTACTCGAGAGGCTGAGGAAGGAGGATCACTTGAGCCAGGGAGGTGGAGGTTTCACTGAACCATATTCACGCCACTCCACTCCAGCCTGGGCAACAGAGCTAGACCTTGTCTCAAAAAATTAAGTTAGTTAAATTAAACATAAAGTTGCATTGTATTTAAGAAATTGGGAAAGCAGAAAATGCTTCTGATTTTCTTTTGAGTTGAACAATGAGAACACATGGACACAGGGAGGGGAACATCATATACCGAGGCCTGTCAGGGGGGTGGGAGGCAGGGGGAGTGATAGCATTAGGAGAAATACCTAATGTAGATGATGGGTTGATGGGTGCAGTAAACCACCATGGCATGTGTATACCTATGTAACAAACCTCCACGTTCTGTACATGTATCTCAGAACTTAAAATGTAATAATAACAATAATAAAAACAACAAAAAAAAGGAAACGCTTCTTGTTAGAACAGATTACATACCCTCATTGCTTTTTATAAGAGCCTGTAATAACAGAATATCCACAAGGTGACAGTAATATATCAGTTTCATCCTCTGAAATTAAAACTTTTGCCTATTCAGTAATACAATGGATCTTTTGAACTCACTCTAACACGTAGAATACAGCAATTTGACTTAATAATTAGCCTTTAAATTTATAGGCTTGTATTATCACTTTACTGGTTTGAATTATTTTGTATTTTAATATATTTAAATGAATTAGTCCTATATAAATTGACTAATTTGACATGTGAAGGTGTTTTTATTCTATTTTCAGAAGTTCAGCTTTAAAAAAATATCTAAACTTTGATATCTGGTGAGTGCCAATGTTTTTATCTTATTAAAAGATGACAGACCACACTATATTCAACTGATTTTTTTTTACAAGGATGTAAAATCAGTTTAAAGGAAAGATATCTTTTTCAACAAATGGTGCTAGAGCAATTGGACATTCACAGGTACAAAAACTAAGACTGACCTAAATTTATACTTTATATAAAATTTAGCTCACATAAATCACAGGCTTAAATGTAAAATGTAATATTATAAAACTTAAAGTTGTGTATGGTAGCTCGTGCCTGTAATCCCAGCTACTACTGAAGTGGCTGAGGTGGAAGCATCACTTCAATCCAGCAGTTAGTGGATGCAGTGAGCAATGATGGCACCACTGCACTACAGCTTGGGCGAAACCTCGTCTCAAAAATAATTAATAAATAAATACATTAAACTTTTAAAATAGAAGAAAACTCTTGAGACCTTGGGTTAGGCAAATAATTTTTAGGCTTGATATCAAAAACAAAATCTACAAAAGGAAAAAGTGATAAAACTGGACTTCATTAAAATAATACTTTTTTTTTTTTTTTTTTTTTTTTACTTAGAAAAACCCTGTAAAGAGGTTGAAAAAATGAATTACAGACTGGGAGAAATAATTTGCATACCATACATCTGACAAAGAACTTACATCTAGCATATGTAAAAAATTCTCAAAACTCAATAGTAATAAATAAGGTATTCAATTAGAAAATAGGCATATGTGACCTCTCTGTATTATAACTTAAACCTCATGTGACTACAATTATTTCAAATGAAATAAACAAAACAGAAATGTCTGTTTCTAGCATATAAAATAATCAGAGAACATAGAATTGTACATAGTTAAATTATTGGGCCATTTACTTAATTTAAACATTTTTAAATGCGTGTACCCATTTTGCTTGAAGGTGTGTGCAAGTATGCTAGTATTTTTTAACGATAATATGGTCACATGAGCATTAAATTAATTTTTTAAAAGTTTGTAGTTACCCCACACAAGTTCTTATTGATTCCCTCATTCTTAACATCTCCATAGTATTTCATTTTATAATTAATGGATTGTAGGTTTATTCTTTTAAAATCACTTGTGTTGTTCTCATGTTTTTTTTTTTTTTCACTAAAAAGTGTTGCAATGCACACAACTAAAAATATAAGGAGGGTCTTTTCTGGATCTCTGTTGAAAAACTTTGAATAAAAATTACAAGTTCAAATCACATGCAAAATAAACATTTTAATTAATAGGATTTTATGCAAGATGTTAGTAGCAGCAGCAGCACAGTTTTATTAATATCCCTGAATCTCTCACAAAAACTGACTGAGCAACTGGGATAACAAGGTATTAACTATGACAAAACAATGTAACAGGGTGTCATCATGGACCTTTTGTGAGGTTAAACCACAGGGATCCAGGGGAATCACCAATTTTTTTGGAAGAAGGAAAGGAAAGGAAAAAAATGTTTAATGGCCCTGGGAACTGGAAAACCTAGAAATAGAAGCGCTAACATCTATGTTCCTAAATTCAGAGATTCTTACTAGGCAAAAAGAACTCAGCAGATTAATCTGAGAACAGCAGCTGAGACTGGCAGAAGGCTTCCTGGGCCTCAACTCATAGCTGAGAGTGAGGATGGCAAAAAGCAGGTGCTGCGAGTGGTCTGTTTCCTATGAACCCTACAAATTAACCACCCCCAAAACAAAGCCCTGTCCTAAGGAGAAACTGCAGAAAGTCAATTATAAATTGAGTTGGGAAGCACACTGAGGCCCAAGAAAAGGAAAGCTCCAGGTTAAGATGCAAGAGAAGAAGGGAAAAGGCAGTTTTCTGCAAGTTCAAGCACAAATAATTTCTTTACCTTCTAGTTCTGGAAATACCAGGTGCTATGTATGTAAAGCAGGAATTTTGGTTGAATATTATATAATTTTCTGACCCACTGTTACTAATTCAGTTTCCCCTGTACTCAGATCTTCCATGCTACAGACAGACTGACAGATGCTCAGCAAATAGTAGCTAATATTTTCTAGGAAACTAGGTGTTAAACGAGTTTTCTTAAATTTCTACCTAAAGGTCTGTAAGTTGATTTGAAGCATTACCAGTTTCTGGTTCTGCACAGGTTGTTGAGAGCAGGACTTCTCTCCTCCAGTGGAAAGTCTACCTGCTCACAATCATCCATCCTTTCCTGCGGCCTTCAGACACTACTCAGTGTAGCACGCCTCCCAGTCTAGAATAGGCACACTCATAATCAGTCTCTCTCATTTTCTGTCTTATCTCCATTCCATCTACATACAGTTTTTGTTTTTGCCAATGTTTTTAAATAAACAACTGTACAAGCACAACAATGACAACAGAAACCTTCCTTCCCCCAGTGTTGTAGTGAGCAAGGAATATATTTAACTTCAAATAAAAGACAAAAACAAATGCTGGATAAAGCTGACAGAAAGAAATGCAACTGTAGGTGCTCTGGCAATATAGAAATGATACAACTAAGAAAAATGGAAGAAAAGGAAAGAGAAAGTATTCCTCAGAATGATTTTACTGACTGCTCAACTGTAATGCCTGGGAGTCAAAGGATATTGTTTATAGAAATGTAAACACACTTAATGGCATCAGGGGAATCAAAGTTAATATGATTAAATCAAATTGTGTGATGAAAAATCACATAGGGAGGACAAGAAAGAGAATACAGCTAATACCATTGTTCTTAGTTTAGAGACATTAGCTACTGTCTAAAGAAAGAGATGATTTTCTGAAATTACATAAGGTAGCCATCAGAATAAAAGTTTAACTCTTCCAAATATCACAACATCAAAACAAAAGCAATAAAAACAAACAAGACAGCAAAAGACAGATATGTGCATATAAATCATAGCATAATATACTGTAAACAAAATATAACCAAACACAATTTATCATTAAAAGTAAGCGGGCTTGACTCTTACTAGAGGAAAAAATATTGTCAGATTAAATCAAAAAGCAAATCTTAATTCTATGCTGGATATAAGATAAAGTGTTACAGAAAGTTTTGAAATAAAAGTATAGGCAATGAATAAAAGGATCTTCTCTTCATGCGTTAGGAGTATAAAACAGTAAGTAAACACATCATACATTTTCTGTTTTTACACTTAAATGGCTGGAGATGTTACACCACTAGTATGAATTTACTTCAGATATATAAAGGATACACTTTTATGTGGTTAGAAAAGGCAATGATAATAGTTAAGGTGAAAATAACATCTGCATTGATGCTAGGAAGAAAGAGCCATTGTTGGGTACATAGTGATCACATTACCATGGAGCAATCTGTTCCCAACTGAAATATCCTTGCCCTTCTACTGAAATCATGTAAGATTCTGCAAAAGTAGTGTTTACTTCCCACAAATCAGCCATTTGTGGGGACGGCTGCTATTGTTGTCCACACGGAATGAGCATCAGACCTATATTTAGCTGTTGTATCATTAAGAGTCGTATTTGGCCCTTTCCAGAGGCTGTTATTTCAATTATATTTTGGAAAATTAGTCTATTTCCAGACAAATAATTTTTCCAGAACTTTGATCCATATGAAATGACCCTTTGGTAGGGATCCAGGGATTGAGTTTATTTTTAATTACTGTAGCATCCTGGTCAGGTTGAGAAACAGATTACCTTTATATTTCCCTGGCATGTGAGCAGGGCTAGATTTAGCGTGAGAATGCTTGAAAGTTTATAGTTTTTTAGAAATTTTATTTGCTGTGTGTCTCTTTATCAAAATAAAATTAATGCTGAAAAGCTATATTAAATGAATTATTTTGAGATGGCCTCTTCCCCCTTCTTCCAATGAGAGGATATCCACGGATATGTCAGGAGCTTGCTTTACCTAGAAATGTGTTGAGGGCCACAGGTTTGGGTTCACCTAGGAATGTTTAGGGACACCTCCCCAAGTTGTTGTTGAAGAGTGGGGTAAATGTAAGATAGAATTAGGCTCACGGAGGCCAGATGAGAGCATCATGTCACCCCAGAAACACAGCATATACCTAGGAGATCTGTTCTCAGTATCAAAGTCTTAAGCACTGTAAGATTGCATATAGACCAAGACAACAACTATATATATATATAGTTAATAAAATCAGTTAATATATAAACATATATTTATTTATTTATTAACTTATTTTTATTTTTATCTTCAGACAGCATCTTGCTCTGTCACCTAGGCTGGAGTGCAGTAGTGCAATTAAGGCTCACTGCAGCCTTGACCTCTGGGGCTGAAGCTATCCTCCTGCCTCAGTCTCCTAAAGTGCTAGGATGAGAGGTGTGAGTCACCTTGCCAGGCCCAGGGCAATAACTATGCAATGTTTATATAATTTGGAGCAAAAAACATTTGAAATATGTGTGCTTTGCTTTTTAACCTTTTCTATTGATTTACTTTATTAAATACTGAATAGAAACAATATATTTATAAAATATTTATTTTATATATATAATAAGCACATAATGAACACCTGTGTCTCCAGTCTTGGTTTAAGAAATTAAGCCAAAAGTAATCATAAGTGCTTATTATTACTTTTGAAGTCACCTGTACAACTATTGCTGACTACATCCCCTTCTTCAACACTCTAACGATGGCCACTATGAGCACTGTGTATATTGAATTGTGTTGTATTTTAATACCGTGTGCACTACATTGTTTTCCTAGCTGTATGCTATTGCATTTAGTGAGCATAATGAATTATATCAGTATAGTTCAGTTTTGTCATTTCATTGTTTCAGCTTTTCTGTACTAATTATTGCCAATATATTTCTTCTGGCATAAAAACAGACACATAGGACAGTGGAACAGAATAGAGATCACAGACAAATATACACATTTACTAACAACTCATCTCTGACAAAGGCATCAAGAACATACACTGGGAAAACAACAGTCTTTTCAATAAATGATCCTGGGAAAACTGAATAACCATATGCAGAAGGATAAAATGAAACCCATCTTACCATACACAAAAATCAAATCAAATAAAAATGGATTAAAGACTTGAATCTGAGACCTGAAACTGTGAAGCTAGTAAAAAAAAAAAAAAGCATAGGAAAGGCTGGGTGCGGTGGCTCTCATCTGTAATCTCAGCACTTTGGGAGGCCAAGGCAGCCAGATCACAAGGTCAGGAGATCGAGACCACCCTGGCTAACATGGTGAAACTCTGTCTCTACTAAAAATACAAAAAAAAAATATATTAGCGGGGCATGATGGTGGGCGCCTGTAGTCCCAGCTACTCAGGAGGCTGAGGCAGGAGAATGGCGTGAAAACAAAAAAAGAAAGAAAAAAAGAAAGCATAGGAGAAATGCTCCAGGACATTAGTCTGGGCAAAGATTTTTTTGCGTAAGACCTCGGAAACACAGGCAACAAAATCAAAAATAGACAATGGGATTATATCAAACTAAAAAGCCTCAAGCAAAGGAAACAATCAACAAAGTGAAGAGCTAACCAGAGAATGGGACAAAATATTTTCAAACTATCTATCTGATAAAGGATTAACAAGTAGAATATATAAGGAGCTCAAACAACTCAATAATACACAAACAAAAAATCTGATTGAAAAATGGGCTACTGAAGAGGCTGAGGTAGGAGGATTTCTTTTTTTTTTTTTTTTTTTTTTTGTGAGATGGAGTCTCGCTGTCGCCCAGGCTGGAGTGCAGTGGCACGATCTCGGCTCACTGCAGGCTCTGCTCCCCCGGGGTTCACGCCATTCTCCTGCCTCAGCCTCCTGAGTAGCTGGGACTACAGGCGCCCGGCACCAAGTCCTGCTAATTTTTTGTATTTTTAGTAGAGACGGGGTTTCACCTTGTTAGCCAGGATGGTCTCGATCTCCTGACCTCGTGATCTGCCCGCCTCGGCCTCCCAAAGTGCTGGGAATACAGGCGTGAGCCACCGCGCCTGGTCAGGAGGATTTCTTAATCCCAGGAGTTTGAGGTTACAGTGAGCTATGATTATGCTACTGCCCTTTAGCTTGGGTGACAAAGCAAGACCTTGCTTCTAAAAAAAACAATAGTTAAAAATATATAAATAAATACAATTTAAAAATGGGCAAAAGATCTGAACAGATATTTTCTCAAAAGAAGACATACAAATGGCCAATAGGAAGATGAAAAAATGTTAAATATCACTATTCGTCAAAGAAATGCAGATCAAAATCACAATGCAATATCATCTCACCTTGGTTGAAATGACTTGTTTCAAAAAGACAGGCAATAACAGATGCTGGCAAGGATGTGGAGAAAGGGAAATACTACCACACTGTTGGTGGGAATCTACATTAATAAAGCCACTATGGAGAACAGTATGGAGGTTCCTCAAAAAAGTAAAAATAGAACTACCATGTGGTCCAGCAATTTCTTTACTGGATATATATCCAAAATAAAGGAAATTAATGTATCAAAGACATATCTACATGCCGATGTGTACTGCAGCGCTATTCACAATAGACAAAATATGGAATCAACGTAAGTGCTCACCAACAAATGAATAGATTTTAAAAGTCATATATACACATAATGGAATACCACTCAGATACAAAGAAGAATGAAATTCTGTCATTCGCAGCAACACAGGTGGCGCTGGCCATTTGGTTTAACCTAATGAACATAGGCCATTGTGTTAAGTGGAATGAGCCAAGCACAGAAAGGCAAATACCACATGTTGTCACTCATATGTGGGCAGTAAAAAAGTGGATCTCATGAAGATAGAAAGTAAATCGGTGGTTGCTAGAGGCCAGCAAGGGGAGTGGGAAGAGGAGATTAAGAGAAGAAAATATAAATGTATTTATCACCACTAAACTGTCCTCTAAAAATGTACAGAAGGTAAATTATATATGTATTTTTAACTCAATAAAAAGTTAAAAAAAATTCTGCTGTGTGTTTACAGGGCACAGGTAAAAGACTTTCTCTAGGGTTGTATCAGTTTTCTATTCCTGCTGTAACAATTTACCACAAATTCAGTGGCTTAAAAGAACACATTTTTGTAAGATTTGAGTCAGTTTTAAAAAACACACACAAACTTATTGTCTTAGAATTGTTTTGGTTGGAAATCTGGCATGGCTCTCACTGAACTAACATCAAGATGTTGGCAGGCTGCATTTCTTTCTGAAGGCTCTAAAAGAGCATCTGGGTTGTTGGCAGAATTCAGTTCCTTGTTGTAGATCCTCAGTTTCTTCCTGGTTGTAAACTTTGGGTCATTCCCAGCTTCTAAGGTCACTGGCTTTCCTTGGCTTGTGGCCCCCTACCACTGTTTTAAAAGCCAGTAATAGCAGGCCACATCTTTCTCATACTGCCATCTGTCTGAATCTCAGCATCCAGAAAATATTCTCTGCTCTCAAGGAATTATGAGATTAGATTGGCTCACCAAGGTAATTCAAGGTAATTTCCCTTAATGGTAATCACATCTGCCAAGTCCCTTTGAACATGCTAACTTACGTTAGCATGTTCACCTTATCTGAAGACTGGGATGTGGCTGTCTTTGGTGGGGGGCAATTATTCTGCCTAACCCAAAGATACACAACTTGCAGATGTACAACTAGTTCATGGAGATGAAACATTTTCAAATCTACAAGAAAATGTTTTCTAAAATGAGCATTTCATATTAGACTTTCACGAGCACTGTATCAGAATTATATTTACTTCATAATGTTGCCAATACTGATATCAGGTATTTAATTTCCTAGCCAGTTCATGATAATGTGAATTGTGAATAATATATTTGTTCATTCAGTCAACGAACATTTTTTATCAGACACCACCGATATGCTGGACAGTGTTATGGTTCCTAAAAATATAGCTGTTATTATTATTTTTTAAACAAAATCCCCACTGTGATAAAGCTTTTATTCTTTGGGACAGGCAGACAGTAATCCAGATAAATAAATGCAAGGGCAAATTAGGGGAAAAATTGGAATGGAGAGCTCAGAATGTGGCCCCAGAGAAGGGCAGAGGGAAAGGGGACCCAGTTCAGAATCTCGGTGCGTCCACACCAAACAATTCCATGAGGGCTGAGGAGACAGAGCTGAAAGGCTTGTCTGACATCACAAGAGACAGAAAAGTGAGCCCCATTTTCATCTCTATCCTGACAATGTTCCTGACTTGATTTCCTCCTTCCAGCAGACACAAGAATCAGGGAGCACACCCTGATGGTAACATTTTTTTCAGGGGCCTATTTTGGGGACCCTGGTGAGAACCTGAGTCCGTCACTGACCATGGCAGCCCAGCATGGTCCCCAGTGCGTGGCCCAAGGCCAAGATTCTCTACCTCCGTCCTGGAGGCAGAAGAAATGTCTGTGGGAAAATGAGAGGTTTTAGGTGGTTGGCACTGGGTGAGACCAAGAAGAAATTTTAAAGCTGTGTGTCCTGGGGCCGGGGGCGGTGGCTCACGCCTGTAATCCCAGCACTTTGAGAGGCCGAGGCGGGCAGATCACGAGGTCATGAGATTGAGACCATCCTGGATAACGGTGAAACCCCGTCTCTACTAAAAATACAAAAAATTAGCCGGGATTGGTGGCGGGCGCCTGTAGTCCCAGCTATTCGGGAGACTGAGGCAGGAGAATGGCGTGAACCGGGAGGCGCAGCTTGCAGTGAGCTAAGATCGCGCCACTGCACTCCAGCCTGGGTGACAGAAAGAGACTCCTCAAAAAAATAAAAATAAAATAAAAATAAAAAATAGAAAAAGCTGTGTGTCCTTTGTTTCTTCAAATTTTGCAGATTTTTGATGTCAAAATATTTTCATAGTCAAAAGAGTGTTAATAAAGAATGACTTCTCTGTTATAAAAATCCTAGTAGTGAATGTATTTACCAAGAAGTTAGATTCTATCTTTGGTTTTTTGTTTTTTGTCCCGTAGTTTAAAAAAAATAGTTTTATTGTATGGATATTCTACAGTTAGAGTATCTATTCACCTCTTGATGGACATTTGGTTTGCTTCCAGTTGTTTTTGCTATTTCTAATAAAGTTGCTACGAATGTTTGTCCAATCATTTGGACATACGCTTTCATTTGTCTTGGGCAAATAAGCAGGATTTGAATGACTAGGTGGTGTGATATGTTCACCTTTTTTTTTTTTTTTGAGACGGAGTCTCGCTCTGTTGCCCAGGCTGGAGTGCAGTGGTGCATCGCGGCTCACTGAAAGCTCCGCCTCCCGGGTCCACGCCATTCTCCTGCCTCAGCCTCTGGAGTAGCTGGGATTACAGGTGCTAGCCACCACGCCCGGCTAATTTTTTGTATTTTTAGTAGGTATGGGGTTTCATCGTGTTAGCTAGGATGGTCTTGATTTCCCGACCTCGTGATCTGCCCGCCTTGGCCTCCCAAAGTGCTGGGATTACAGGCGTGAGCCACTGCTCCCAGCCACTTTAACTTTTAAAGAAACTGAAAAAGTGGCTATATTTCCAGCAGCAGTGTATGAGCATTCCTTTTCCTTTGTGTTCTCACCAATGTTTAGTATGGTCAGTCTTTTAAATTTTAGCTATTCTAATAGGCATGTAGCAGTATCTCATTGTGGTTTTAATTTACATTTCCCTAATGATGAATGATGTTGAACATCTTTCAATGTTCTTACATATCATCCATCTGTATTCTATGGTGCAATGTCTGTTCAGATCTCTACATTTGTGTTAGACTATTTGTTTTCCTATTATTGAGTCCTGAGAGTTCTTTGTATATTTTGGATAACAAATGTATCTTCACCAGATATAGCTTTTGTAAATTTTTACTCCCAGTCTGTGATTTGTCTTTTTATTCTCTCGATAGTGTTTTTCTTTTTCTTTTTCTTTTTTTTTTTTTTTTTTTTTTTTTGACAGAGTCTGGCTCTGTCACCCAGGCTGGATTCCAGTGGCATGATCTCGGCTCACTGCAAGCTCCACTTCCCGGGTTCATGCCATTCTCCTGCCTCAGCCTCTCCAAGTGGCTGGGACTACAGGCGCCCGCCACTACGCCCAGCTAATTTTTTGTATTTTTGGTAGAGAGGGGTTTCATCGTGGTCTAGATCGCCTGACCTCGTGATCCACCCACCTCGGTCTCCCAAAGTGCTGGGATTAAAAGCGTTAGCCACCACGCCTGGCCTCTGGATAGTGTTTTTCACAGGTCAGATTAATTTTTATATAAATCATTTATTTTATTTTTATTATGTAAAATTTTATAATTTTTAATTTTATTTTTAATTTCCTTTTTAAAAGGTAAATAAAATTTTAAGTGTAATGATGCAAAATTTTGTTTAAAAGTAAATGTATATGAAAGTGTTGATATAGACTAAAAAATTGAATAATTAAGAAAGTAGTTAGTTGTCACAGTAGGAGTGAAGTGAAAAGCTTCCCCTTTCACCCTCTGAAGATTACCTGAAATGAACTGACCATACACAGATTAATAAAATAAAGGGTATACAAACTTACTTAACCTGCAAAAACATGAGAGCTATACACAAAGAATAAGACTTGAAGATGGCTCAGATCTTAAACGCTCTCCTCATAGGCAATAGATATATAGACCCAGGATGCAGACATTATTTTGTAAATAATTTCCTTTGGAAGCTGGATGGGACAGACAAATTACAGGAAGGTGAGAGATGGAACTGCACAGGAAAAAAGTTTGTCTTTGTCACTTTAATCTTATCATTACTAGAGAATATTTATGAATATTTTAGAATAATATATTTTTAAGCCCAAACCTCACCAAATGTTTTTTCTAAAACAAATACTTTTTGTTGTTGTTTGTTTGTGTTTGATACTGTGTCTCACTCTGTCACCCAGGTATGGAGTGCAGTGGTGCAACCATGGCTCACTGCAGCCTTGACCTCCTGGGCTCAAGTGATTCTCCTACCTCAGCCTTCCAAGTAGCTGGGCTACAGGCATGCACCATCATGCCCTGGTAATTAAAGAAAAAAAAATTTTTGTTAGAGACCAAGTCTCATTATATCACCCTGGCTAGTCTTGAACTCCTGGAATCAACTGATCCTCATACCTTGGCTTCCCAAATTATTGGGATTATAGGTGTGAGCCACAGTGCCTGACCACATATTTCTATACTTCACTGAGGAAAGGAAGGTGCTAGGAAAATTGGTTAAGAACTATTTTTTAAAAAGCTATTAGTAGTGTTTTATTTTATTTTATTTTTTAATGATTGATTGATTTTTGAGATTGAGATCTCACTATGTTGCCCAGGCTGGTTTCACATTCCCAAATTTAAGCAATACCCCTGCCTCAGTCTCCCAAGTAGCTGGGATGACAGGTGTGTGTCACCATACCCAGCTCCATTAGTAGCATTTTTAACAATTGTGGGCCACTGAGTAAGAATAATTTTTTTTTTAGTTAAAGGTTATTTTTTAAAAAGCACATTTGTAGAAAATTACTAGCATAATCTGCCTAAAATAAATATACATATTGAAAAAATGTTTGCTCTGAACAAAAAGAAATATATTCACCACACATACATACATACACATACACACATGCACACACACACACACACACACATTATGGAAGATTTCAAGACCAGGCAATAATTTCCACTCAATCCAAAAACAATGCAATCCCAGAGCTGAATATTTAGGTGAAAAATATATCAGGAATGGGAGGCATTCAGGTTTAATTTTCATGTTTTGGTAGAGTTAGGATGTGAGTTTTCATTTAAAAATATTATTTATTTTTTTGCTACTATTGTGGTTTCTGTAATGTTACTATACAATCTGTAAACTAAATAGTAAAGGAGAGAAAAGAGATTTTCAAAGAAGCTGGCTTGGGAACAGGTACTATTCTGGGAAGATGAAAGGTTTCACTTAATGACTGGTACCTGTGCCACTCTGGTTATTTTAACTGTTAACCTTTTAGGAAGAGGTTTTTCTTTTAAAAGACATCCCTTAATATTGGGGAAGCTAGTGCAATAGTACATATTGAGGCCCACATACCACATGCCAAATATTTAAAAGGCATATTTCTAGCTAACCACTGTACATACATATATTTTTCTCTCTTATTTTCTTATTTTAGTTTTTTCCTTGTCAACAATTTATGTCCACACATATCTTCTATCATCCCATTTTGACAAGTAATATTATACCTTCAAAATGATGTGGAAGACTAGATTGGAATTTAGAACCGTAGAACCTTGTAATTGTACAAGAAAGTTTCTTCCTGGGAAAAAATAAAACAGGAAGAAAAGGCTGGGCAGCCTCTGCTTCAGGAAGGAAATTCGGGAGTCCCGTATAGCAGCATCTCTAGTACTTGGGAACCGAACAGACTTCTCGGCCTGTGAGGCTGGAATGGGCCCTTCTGGAGAACACGACAGAGAAGTTATCTACTGCCTTTGCCCCCAGGGCCCAGGCAACACTTTTACCCTCCATTGCTTGTTTCTGAAGTTAAGGGGAGGAGACAATGTTTTGTTTAGTGACCTCGACAGAAAAGGTGTCCTCCTGCAACAACTCATTTGTTACTTTCCTTCTTCCTGAATTGCCTGGACCCACTCCTCCTCCATTTGACTGGCTCTGTGCACTGATGTTATAGTCAGGAGATTTTTGGGAATTGTGGCTTCTAAAAATGTACACCCGACTCTACCCATAGCTGGCCCTGTGAACCTACACACCTGTTCCACTGTGTCTCCTTCTCATAGAGACACTTTTCCTGCTGAGTCTCTGCCCTCTGCTCCTAGATCCAAATGGCATCTCCTACCCTATCCCTGTATGGATTAACCTAGGGAAACTCTTTCCCAGAGGAGTCAGGTAAGGAGACGGTGGCTGAGCTTCTTACAGACTTAAAGGAGACATCCTGGAATTTAGGAGTCCATCCTTCCTTTCTGTCTCCTTGGCAGCTCCTGCCGCTGCTCAAAGTTTAGCTTTGTCTCTCATCCAGCTCAGACTGTTGCTGGTCCTGATGGCCTCTGCTTAGCTGTATTAGTACGTTCTTGCATTGCTATAAAGAAATACGTGAGAAATACCTTTAGTTGGCTCACGGTTCCATAGGCTATGCAGGAAGCATGGTGGTTTCTGCTTCCGGGGAGGCCTCAGGAAACTTTTACTCAAGGTGCAGGGCAAAAAAAAAAAAAAAAAAAAAAAAAAAAAAAAGCTACCAGCACTGCACTGTGAGGCCCTGATCCCTGAGCTAACTTCATATTATTACCTCTACAGCAAGTGTCTCTGAGAACATAGATATATTTCTTATGTGAGTACACAATTTACAGAAGAGCAACTACCCTCCCAAACCAAAAGAAAATGTTATAATTTTAATTTACCAACAAACCTAGGTTGCTTCTGTGAAATGATCTCATTTGCTGAGTTTTAAAATTGACTAAATTTCCCAATTTCCAAATGAAAATATTTAGTTATCTTGCCTTGCTATGTGTTTTTGGTTAATATGATGATTAATTTTTGGTCTATTACATAATATATTCCATGATTGTTGATATGGATTATAAGGACTCACAAAATAATTTTCAGATGTCTTTAATTTTTTTACTTAGTGTAGATCCTATAAATGGATTAGGAGTATTCTATTAACTCCCATGTATTCAGAAATTGAATTGGAGTGGTAAATTCTGTTTGAGGTAACAAGGGATATCAAAGAAAAAAATAATTTTGTGACTATGTCTTCTATACGTAAATTTTTCAGGCATCTTTATCAATGGCTTATACTAAAGACATTTTCTGGATCATGGGTGACCGACAGAAAACATGCTGATAAGTGGCATTGTGTACACTACTGCATTTTATCATCAGGTTTATTTTTAAACTTTTATTTCTCTTAAGGATGTTTTATTAACCGGTGCATCACCAGGTTAACAGTCTCTGGAACACTAAACTTACCAGAAAATACTTGTTGATTGAATTAACAAGAAAACAACATTAGAAAACAGTGGTGGCTTTTTTTTGTCTGTTGCAGTATCTTGGAGAGTAAAGCCTAACTCTTTAATTTTGGCCAAAGATATAAAGAAATACCTGAGAAACACCTTTAGTTGGCTCATGGTTCCATAGACTATATAGGAAGCATGGTGGTTTCTGTTTCTGGGGAGTCCTCCAACACTTACTGGCAGGGTAATTTTGAAGAAGTCATGATAAGATGGTTGTTACAATTAAATGAAATAATCAAATTGGAAGAGCTTAGTTAGCTGTCTTCCCTAAATGAATCACTGACAAGTAAGAGTGTGATTGATTTTCCTACCAGTCAGGACTCACCCCTTGAAGCTATAGGAGGGTAAACCTCTGAAGACCATACAATTTAGGGAACACTAACACCTCAAAAAACTCTGTAAACTTCCTTCCTTCCTTTTTTCCTTCCTTCTTTCCTTCCTTCATTCCTTCCTTCCTTCCTTCCTTCCTCCCTCCTTCCCTCCCTCTCTCTCTCTCTTTCTTTCTTTTCTTTCTTTGTTCATTTTTGAGACAGAGTCTTGCTCTGTCATTCAGGCTAGAGTGTAGTGGCTGGATTACGGCTCACTGCTGCCTTGACCTCCTGGGCTCAAGCAATCCTCTCCCTTCAGCCTCCCTAGTAGATGGGACTATTGGCATGCTCAGCTAATTTTTTCCTCCTTTTCTTTTTGTAGAGACAGGGTCTCATCATGTTGCCCAGGCTGGTCTTGGACTCCTTGGATCAAGCAATCCTGCTGCCTCAGCCTCCCAAAGAGCTGGATTACAAGCATGAACCACTGTGCCCAGCCTTAAGTTTTTTTCATACAGGAGGAAAGAATTTGGGAAAGTAGGTGTGTGTGTGTGTGTGTGTGTGTTGGTTAGGGAGCCAACACATTTTTCTGCAAAGCTTGAATTCTGTGCCTCAGTTTTTCATTTTTGTTATGTGCAAAATAAAATCGTAGCCTGCTATAGATTTAAACCTGTGAGTGGATCCTACTCAAAACCTGATTCAAACTTTGCGTAGATCTTTGTCTGTCTATGGCATAAGAATAAATTCTTCTGGTTTTCTTCCATCAGGAAAATGGACTTAGACTTCCCCCAAGCCTTCCAGAAAGAACTCAACTGCCTCATCTGCCTGAATTACCTCATAGACCCCATCACTATAGGCTGCGGGCACAGTTTCTGTAGGCCCTGCCTCTGCCTTTGCTGGGAAGAAGCACACACTCCTGCCCTGCATGCAGGGAACTGTCACAGCAGGGAGATTTCAATCAATATTCTTCTGAAGAATCTAGTGTCCATTGCCACAAAAGCCAGTCTCTGGCAATTCCTGAGCTCTAATGAACAAATGTGCAGGATCCACAGGGAGACAAAGATGTTCTGTGATGTGGGCAAGAGGCTGCTCTGTTTTCTGTGTTCTAACTCTCAGGAACACTGGGGCACAGAAACACTGGCCCACTGAAGGGGCAGCTAAGGAACACTGTGTAAGTGATGACTCAGAGCACTTTGAAAGTTGGAGGGCAGCACAGGTAAAGAGATTAGGAGGAAGATGAAGAGCATGAGGATTAATCTATTCTTTACCGAGTGTCATGTACTGCCTAGGCATCAGTGATATAATTGTTATCCTGCTATCAAATCTACTGATAAGTGGCTCATTTAACTTATATGCACTCATCACAATGCAAGAAATCCTCTGACTGCTCCTACCATCATGGCCCCTAGCCATGATATGACTTGTCTCCACACTAGAAGAAACGAATCGAGTCCCTATATTAGGGATAAGAGGCATTTATATATATATATATTTTTATATATAAATTTTATATGATATATAAAATATAAATATTTATACAATATATATTATATACATATATACATACATACATACATATATATGTGTATATATATATATATATATATATATATATATCACAATGCTAAAAATGTTTTGTCTTCAAAATAATCACAGTGCATTTGGAGAGACAAATGCATCTACAACCAGGCGACAACACTGAAAATAAAATTGTAGCAGTTTGAATAAGGGATTAAATGAGTTAATTTTTTCCTGGGGTTCAAAAAAAGAAACAGCAGCAAAAAATGGTACTTAAGACTGAAAGTTGGCTGGGTGCAGCTGCTCATGCCTGTAATCTCAACACTTTGGGAGGCCAAGGTCGGCGGATAACCTGAGGTCAGGATTTCGAGACCAGCCTGGCCAACATGGTGAAACGTCATTACTAAAAATACAAAAATTAGCTGGGCGTGGTGGCAGCTACCTGTAATCCCAGCTACTCGGGAGGCTGAGGCAGGAGAATCACTTGAACCCAGGAGGCGAGGTTGCAGTGAGCCAAGATCACGCCATTGCACTGCAGCCTGGGTGACGAAAGCAAAACTCCATCTCAAAAAAAAAAAAAAAGAAAATTCTGGGTTATGACACAGAACATACGCAACATGAATATGCCATGGTTATGACCATGTAGACTACTCAAGATTGTGTATTTTTAAAATAATAGAATACTAGGTTAAAAAATTAACATCACAGAATGAAAAATAAGCCACAAACTAGCAGAAGATAATTGTAACACATAAAAACAAAGACTTAAATACAATGGTAATATAATGATAGCTATTCTTACAAAGTTGTTTCTATGTCTCAGGTACTATTCTGAACAACATACGTGCATCTTGAATGCATGAAGAAGTCCTATATAAGAAAAACACAAACAACAACATTTAAAATCAGCAAAAAAACCCGAATAGGAATTTCACAGAACAGAAAACATAAATGGCCCATAAACATAATAAAAGATGCTCAACTACAATTTTAATCAGGGAAATAAACATTAAAACCCCAAAGAGATACCACTTCATACTCTAGGAAAAACCTAAAAGGCTGTGAATATCTAGTTTCATTGAGGAAGAACAATGGGAAGACTATTCACTGCTGGTGAGGGTGTAGATTGGTACAACTGCTTTGGAGAACAGATTGATGCCACTCAATAGAGCTGAACACATACATGCCCAATGACCAAGCAATTCCACTCCAGGTACATACTGTAAAAATACTCCTGCACATGTAGAATAGGAGACACTGCATAACAAAGTTCACTAGAACATGAGGCTGAGGTGGGAAGATGGCTTGAGACCAGGAGTTCGAGGCTGCACCAGTAGCTGGGACTATAAGCATGTGTCACCATGCCTGGCTAATTTTTTGCTGTTGTTGTTGTTGTTAGAGATGATGTCTTCCTTTATTGAACAATCTGGTCTCCAACTCCTGGCTTCAAGTGATCTTCCCACTTCTGCCTCCCAAAGTGCTGGGATTACAGGTGTGAGCCACCATGCCCGGCCAAGTTCTGCTTCTTTACTTGAGGTAGATACTTTGATGTTTCATTTTCCTTTATTGTACAGATATACTTTATATTCTCATATGTGACACAAGTCAAAATTTAAAAAAACAATTTAACGTTTATTCCCTTTAGATGAATGATGGGCAAATTTACATAATGAATTCATCACTGAAACAATGTATAGATTTCAGACTAGGAAAGTAACTATTTATAAAAGAAAAGCTTAAAACCTGAAACAGAAACAAAATCCTGAAACTGTAAAATTGAGTCAAACTAAAATTTAAAAAACAAAGCAATGATATAAAGTATCATTTGTCCAAATGTGTTCTACAAAACGCTTTTTTCTTAAATATGTCTGAGGAAAAACAGGTTCTAGGAGTAAAATATGTTTGAAAAATGCTGGGTTAAACAACTGAACCTATGAAGGAAGGAATAGAACTTCTCAAGCTCTTGACTCTGGAATCTTTTTTACACGGCAATTAACACCATGCTTCTTCTTGGATTTGTATTTCAGATAAACACAATCTGGGAAACATTTTATAATACAGAGGGCCACACCAGATCGAATATTGTCCCCAGGAATGAAATGAAAACAGGAATGGATTCTCCAGTAAGAGGTACCCAGATATCCTAATCTTCAGTAGCTGACCTAAACCCTGGACAAGTGGGATCAAACCCCATAACCAAATACAACTTTTTAGGAACTAAGTAGATAATCACTCTGTGTTGTATGAACATGTGGGCAGTGTGTTTCCTATATAACTTAAAAGTGCAACAAAAAAAGATCTAGGTGTCATATAAAGAATTTCTACCACTGTTAGGGTAATGGTGGACTGACAGGCAGAGGGTCTTAGATGTCACTTAAGTAAAGTTCAATAGAAGCTTCCAGCACAGATATTCATGTTTCGAATTGGACCGCTCAGTTAAAATGTTTTCCCATTAGACTTCCCCTAATCAAATTAGAAATTATCTAATTTTCTAATAAAGTTTTCCCCAGGCACAAGGAATCTGTGAACTGGACCTAAAAAATTCTTCATAATGTGCTTTTATTACCATAAAAGATGCACATTTATTTTAAAAACTTCTCTACACCACTATCATAAACCTTTGCACACACTTATTTCTTTTGGAAGCTAACTTCTGAGTGGTAATGAAATATATTCTTAAGAAAAAAGTCTGACACAATGCCTTTGCATCTTAAAATATGTTAAAATATTATTTGAAAAGAGTCAAACATCTGTCTTTTCAGGGTATCACAGGGCGTCAAACTGGAAAATGTGGCACTGCCAGGAGTTTCTACCTGGTGAAGGGTGGCAGACTTTTCTCTTCAGAGGGCTCTTGACAGGGTAGCGTCCATTATCTTGCCAATTTACCACAACCTAGGCCCAATCCTCGGTCTTATAGGTTCAGAAATTTATTTTTATCAGCGTCAATAGGGTAGCTACATTGCTTAGAAGCAAACAAAAATAACCATGCTTCAATAGAAATCAGGATATAGATGTATTAATACAGAATGACCAATATAAATGTGACAGAAATAGGAATGCCTGTTTATGGTCATATACGGCCAATACTTTCATTACAGCCAAACTCATACATGCAGCCAAATAAGAGGCCCCTGGATACACAGGAAATCAGAATAAAAAAAGAACTGAACATTTAATAGTCTTCTTTCATTCAATCAATAATTTTTTTTAATTAAGCAACTACTATGTCCAGGTAACCTTCTAGGTCCTGGGGATACAGAGTTCTCTGCTTACAGAAGTCATATGTAAGTAGCAGGTGAAGAGTATGTGTTTCACAGAAGGTTATTACAATATATTAACAAGAGCAAAAAATTTTGGAAGCAATCTAAATGTTCAATAATAGAGCTCCAATTAAATGACAATAAATCCAAATAATGAAAAATAATGCAGCCCTTTAAGAATAAGCACTTGCAAGCCATAATTCATGACATGGGAAAATTATCATAATGGAAAAAGAAGCAAGCTATATATAGTGCATGATCCTATACACACACATACATACATACATATTTCCTATCCCTTTATATGCATAAGAAAACAAGCGGGAGGAAAGTCATATCTTTAGTCAAATCTTGTTTACTAATGTACTATTAATGATTATCTTTTCTTTTTCTTTATACCTTTTTGCATTTTTCAATTTCCTAAAATAGCCTTACATGCCTTTTATCACCAGGAGAAAAATTACTTCTAAGGTAATTTCAGTCAACATGCATACTAAAAACTCTTCAGATTTATCTATTAGAAGCTGTGCATGAATGCCAGTCCTTGCATCTGTCCTGGAACTCACAGAGAGCTCTTTTCCCATGACTTTAAGCAATACTCAAAAAGACCAGCATACCTGAATTTCCTAGTCCTATGTTTTTTCATCCAACAGCCAGTCTTGTATTTCTAGCTGTTTTCTAAACATTTCAACCAAACCATTTTACAGATAACTCATACAGTCATCTTTTGATACGCATGGGGAATTGGTTCCAGGATCCCCCTTGTATACCAAAATCCATGGATGCTCAAGTTACTGGTATAAAATAGTGTAGTATTTGCATATAACCTACACACATCCTCCTATATACTTTAAATCATCTCTAGATTACTTAATAACACTTAATATGATGTAAATGCTATGTAAATAGTTGGTATACCATGTTGTTTTTTATTTGCATCATTTTTTATCATTGTATTGTTTTTTCTGACAATTTTGTTCCACAGTTGTTTGAATCGGTGGATGCAGAACCCATGAATATGGAGAGTCAATTTCATTTCATAATGCCCAAAGGTAAATGCGTAACTTTTTCCGCACAGCTAATCTTCTAGCAACCCCATTGCTGTCCATGGCAAGCAGGCTTAGTTAATCTCGCCCTTTCCAGTTTCAGGTTCATTAAAAAACTCTTGTCAAACTCTCTTTCATCCCACCTTATTCTTCATTCTCACTTCCATCAGCATATCAGTCCAGGCCCTAGTAACATTAATGTTACTAATGGCACTGTTAGTAATATTACTTACCAGCATTCAAGTGGGTCTCCCTGATGCCATTGTCTCCCATCCTGAAATCACTGCTCTTTATATAGAACTTGTATGATGTCATTCATTGGCTCAAAAACTTTTAAAGCCTTCCTTTTTCTACTACCCCAATCTAAATTTCTATGCCTGGCTTTTATTAAAACCCGTAATTTGGCCCCACCCTAGCTATTTAACTTTATTTTCCACTATTCGCCAGTCTCCTCCCTCATCAACGAGAAGACATACCATAATCAACCTCACCACTAACCCTTGGAATATCTAAACTTAAAAATGGTCCTTCTTTTCCCCTTTACTTGTATTTAAAGAACCTGACGAATTATTCCTCCTCTGCTAAACTTTTCACAATTTCTTCAACCTCATTTACTTTTCAAGTTTTCAGAACATATCTTGCCGTTTATTAGGAATCTCACAATTAGGCACTCTACTGTAGATAGATTTACAATCATGTATGTTGTCATCTTCTATTAAATTCCATACTCCTTGAAGGCAGGAGTCATGCCTTATTCTGTCCCTCAGAGTACTCAGAATGATGCAGAGCACACAGAAAGTACTCAAATCTTGTTGACTGATCCAGTGAGAAATTACCAACTTCAGTTCCAGCCTCTCTTTAACATGTACATAGTAATTTGGGTAAGTCAAGCTCCATCCTGAAGGACATAATAAGGGACTCTTTAAGCACATTATTATGAAGGCCCTTCAGGGATAACACCAGAGTGATGAGGTGCCCTATACCAGGGACAATGGAGACAGAGTACTTGGGATTCATCACTGGAGTCCTCAAAGCATCTTCCAAGGGCATAATAAGGAAGGACTCAAACACCTTTGAATCTCCGTGAGACCAGGCATGAGGTCTTTTGAAAGAGTTCTTTAACTGGAGTGAATGTCAAAGAGAAGTATAATAAAATAAAAGACGTGAGTAGGGTCCCCCTTGTTCATAAAATGACACTACCTAAATCACCAAATCTCACTGAGCCTTGGTTTAACTCAAGAGGTTCCATGCCACTATAAGAGGTGGTAACTGCCAACTGATAGGAAATATTTTCATATGCATAGTATAGTGCCCCATATTTATGAACTTCTTAAGAGTCTTCAAAAAGCTTTCTATATACATTATCCTTTACTTTCTAACTTTTCTAAATACAAGGTGAGAGAGACACAAGTGTTCTATCAAAACAGAATCTTGGCCGGGCACAGTGACTCACGCCTGTAATCCCAGCACTTTGGGAGGCAGAAGCGGGTGGCTCACTTGAGGTCAGCAGTTCGAGACCAACATGGCCAACATGGCAAAACTCCATCTCTACTGAAGATACAAAAAATTAGCCAGGTGTGGTAACAGGTGCCTGTAATTCCAGCTACTTGGGAGGCTGAGGTCAGAGAATTGCTTGAACCCAGGAGGCGGAGGTTGCAATGAGCAGAGATCACACCACTGCACTCCAGTCTGGGCAACAAGAGCAAAACTTCATCTCAAAATAAAAAAAAAAATAAAATAAAGACTTTTGCAAGGACCATGTCCCACCCAGAATGGTGCCTGCCTTTCTACAGTTTTTCAGAAAGAGGAAACATTTTCTGCTTCTCTTGCTGAGGTTTTTTTTAACCACCCATTAGGAATGTATAGATTTCAGGATCGAACACTGCGATTCCCTCAGCACTAAAGGAGTAAAATTTCAAACAGAGCTGAAAGTGCAATGTGGAAAGCTCAGGCTGAGGAAGGTTCTTAGCCAGTAGACCAAGGGCAGAAAGGACACTGCCTCCTCAGTCTCCCACTAGGGAACTTGTGATTCTTGTCCCCTGACCTCAGAATTCCTTGTCATGTTTGTTTTGTCTCCAAGGGAAGGGTTTGAATTACAGAATTTAAGGCAAGAGTGGGCCTCCTGCAGTTAACATTAACCCTCTCTCTCCTTCGCTGGCTGAGGTGAAGTCCGGGGCCATGTAGTTCTGACGTCCACTCTCTCGGGGGATCACCAGTTCACCCACCTCACCTGGCAAGCTGGGCCCTAGTTTGGCGTCAGGAATCTCCCGCCCACCTGGGAGGCAGGGTTCAACACTCTGCCTCTGACCTTTTTTCCTTCCTCTGCCACCTGCTTAGGCAGCCAGAAGGGGTTGTCCAGCCAGCACCTGGGCTTTGGTGCTCCTCAAGCAGGTGGAGGAAGTTTCAGGCACCTGGCTCCTCAGGTGTCTGCCATCCAGCTGCTCTTCAGGCCTGCCCAGCAGAGCTCTCTTGATCCAGCTAGAACTGGCCAGAACTGACTCACTCAGGAATGTGTAGACTTTGGCATCAGGGGCTTCTTTAATTTGCACAATTTCCAAATACCTCTTTTTTCTTCTTTTTCTGATGAGTCATCTCCTTAGACTTGCATTTTAAAGAGATAGATAGTTATCAGGTTCCAGAGAAGACATGGTAGAACATTTATATCTCAAAGACACAGAGCTGAGACTTCAGGTTTAGATACTATAATTTGCCTAAACCAAAAAGGAAGGTGTAGGTAAAGTTCTAGTCAGGACAGGATGGCCAGGAAAAACACCTTAAAGCAAGGGATGGCTTGCTTTGCTGATTTAAGCCAATGGCTTCTTTATCATAAGACTTCCCAGTGATTTAGTCCTCCCTCTCTTCCAGTGCACAGAGACATACCCCTCCTTACAAATAAAAATGTTCTTTATAGATGGAAATTTATTTTACAAAAATGTTTCAAAATAACCAGATGAAAATCATCCTTATGCCAGAAAGACTTGTTGTTTTTTTTTTTTTTTTTACTAGAAATGAAACAGTATTTGTTGTATTGACATACTTAGGCTTAGACCTATGTTTAACAAGAAAGCCTAATAATAACACTGTGGTTAGACTGTAGCCTATTTTTCCAAATCATCATTTTATTATTAAGGAAAGAAAGGATCAAATACCTTTCATTCATCTGATATGATCCTTTAAAACACATTCCACTAATGAGTCACATTTGGAACAGCTGAAAATCTTTTAATAAAACTTTTTAAAGATGAGCTCATGGCTTAGTGTATATTTCACAAGCTTAATTAGGTCAAATGGAAGGAACTCAGATGAGTAGTTGCCCAATCAGAGCCCATTATTTGTAAGTCATCAGCCCCCTTCATGACCTTAAAACTCCACCCTGACCTAATTATTCCAAACCTATATACAACAAAGTGAAAGGATTAATTTTCATTCATCAACCTCTCAATCCCAGATTTTCAAAGAAAAAACCTATGTAAGGAATACTTACCAAAACCAGACAGGAAAATTAGAGCCTGCATACTTAAGAGTCAAATTTGTTCCACTACAGCCAGGTCACATACAATTACATCATTTGGTTCTTCATACACTCTGGAACTGACCAGGACAGAGTTTAGCATAGAAAAACTGTAAGAAATAGGTTCCAAGACATAGAAATTGCCAAGTCCAAAAGGCTATGAAAAAAACTAATGTAAATGAGAGACTCCCCTCCCTTTGTTTTAAAGAAATGGACCCATCAGAGAAATGCAAATCAAAACCACAATGAGATACCATCTCACACCAGTTAGAATGGCGATCATTAAAAAGTCAGGAAACAACAGGTGCTGGGGAGGATGTGGAGAAATAGGAACATTTTCACACTGTTGGTGGGACTGTAAACTAGTTCAACCATTGTGGAAGTCAGTGTGGCCATTCCTCAGGGATCTAGAACTAGAAATACCATTTGACCCAGCCATCCCACTACTGGTTATATACCCAAAGGATTATAAATCATGCTGCTATAAAGACACATGCACATGTATGTTTATTGTGGCACTATTCACAATAGCAACGACTTGGAACCAACCCAAATGTCCAAAAATGATAGACTGGATTAAGAAAATGTGGCTCATATACACCATGGAATACTATGCATCCATAAAAAATGATGAGTTCATGTCCTTTGTAGGGACATGGATGAAGCTGGAAACCATCATTCTCAGCAAACTATTGCAAGGACAAAAAAACCAAACACCACATGTTCTCACTCATAGGTGGGAATTGAACAATGAGAACACTTGGACACAGGAAGGAGAACATCACACACCAGGGCCTGTTGTGGGGTGGGGGGAGGGGGGAGGGATATCATTAGGAGATATGCCTAATATAAATGATGAGTTAATGGGTGCAGCACACCAACATGGCACATGTATACATATGCAACAAACCTGCACATTGTGCATGTGTACCCCAGAATTTAAAGTATAAAAAAAATAAAAAAAGAAAGAAATAGATGTTCTGTAAAAATATACACAATTTTTACAGACAAATACATTTATAAGTTGTTTTTATCTTAAAAATTGGGGATATTTCATATTTATAACTAATTATTGAGCCTTAAGTTTTCTTGGCCATTTCTAGGCTAATAAACTAAGAATCATGTAAACTAAGCCAAAGTAGAATAGACATAAAAGTCCTAAACACTTCAACTTTCTATCCTTCAAGAAATATACCTCGCAAAGCTCATTTGAGAGAGGAAAAGCTTTCCTCCACCCTCTGTTTTACAGCGCTGAGGCTTCTCATCACATTTCTATGACTTGTAGCTTAAATCCATGTTACATGGTCACTGGCATTGTTAGGGCTTCTCTTTTAACACTGTTGGAATTAATCAATTTGGTGGCATATTTAATTAATTCTATCACTAGAGGGTTGTAAAATTACATATATGAATACCTCACTTTAGAGGCCACTTAATTTTTTTCCAAGGGGATATTTGACTATATTTCACTTGTGTCTTATTTAATGATTTTATAATTTAAACCCTAAATTATAAATCTAGAATTTAGAAAGTATATTTCCCCACTGGATTACATTTTTGGAAATATTATTTTATATGTGCACAAATATTACAAAATCACTGTAGACACCTGAAAACTATATTATCTTTTAAAGGCAATATTTACATTAAACTGGTATAACAAAATCGTTTGGTGCATTTTTTCCAGTACATTTTGTGTATATTACATGTTTAACCTTTTTTTATCCAGCAAATAATTTTTGAGTATCTGCTAAGTGCTAGGCTCTGCATTACTAACTGACTTTAAAGACTGAAATAACAGACATGGTCTCAGACAATAAAAATTAACATCAGGTCACCTATTTATATATTTTAAAATGGTAATTATGAAAACTTTTTGAGATTTTTAACTTGATAACATTATAATAACATACTTGACATTGTTACTATTTGCCAGTGAGCAAAAAAGAAAATAAAAAGATGGTTTTATTCAATATACACTTTAAAATTGCAGAAAATAGTCAAGTTTCTCTGCTTTGCAGTTGAATGTCTATGTGTTTTTCTCTGCAACTTGACTTTTGTGGAGTGAAACAATTATTCTTCCAGCCCAATGAAGGCAGAAGAGTAACAATAAATCTAATATTTTAAATGCTTATCAAAAGATAGTAAACACATTATTTCAGAATACTGAGTTCAATAAGTTGACCTACAAAAAAAGCCAAACTGACAGTATTACTGAATAAGGAAAGGCCCAAAGGGACAAAATACTTTTTAATTTGTAACCTCAGTATGACAAAACGTACCCTAACTATAAAGACCCTAAATTACCAAGATGGGTGCTTATAATATGGAGAGTAAAAAAAGTCATTTCACTTTTAGCTTTTTTATTTCTCTCAGAATAAAAAGTGTATAAGGAGTTGATAAAGAAGTTGATACTGTAAGTTAGTACTACAATGACAGCACTTTTCAAGAAAATACTTTTTTCTCTCTTACAAATATCATGTTAGCAGCATTTGTTTTCTCCAGAAATAATGAGGAAATAAAAACATAAGTATGTGGGTAATTAGTGTAGTTTCTTAAAGAAATGAGTTAGGCAACAGGCTAATAATGTATACTTCGCTGGCTTTTGATTGCCAACAATCATATTCTTTATAAGGCACAGAGAAGATTTTTCTGAAGAATAAGTATGTGAACCTGAAAAGTAATCACCACTTGGTAGTGACAATATGGATAGGGTGAAGGGCGTCACCAAGAAGCAATGAAAAGATACATTTGCAGTTAAATTTGAAAACCATGATGGTTAATACATATAGTAATAAAGAATACTTTCTCCTATTTCAAAATTATTTTAGAATTTAAGATAGAAGCTAAAATACCTAGGGATAATGATATGACTATCAAAAATTAAAAATTAAAGGACATTTTGAGTATTATAAGTTAAGAATGAGAACTTATTACCCAATGAACAGGGGATAATTCATTATGCTCCATATCCATTGAATTAAAAGACAGGCCCATTACCTGGATAATTTGAAAGTTTAATTTTATTTAAAAGTCTTGTTTCATTCATCAAGCTAAAGGATTAGCTCCCAGAAATATTCTAGGATTGCATATCCCCAACTCTGTAGGAAGTATAGAAAGAATGTTATAAGGGCCACCATCTAAACATTATTATGTAAATAATTTAGTACCATTCCATTTGCCTTTGTAGATTTAAAAATGTAAATGGCTTTCGCATATTAGGAAACATCATTTTTCAAAACCCAGATAAACATAGTATATTGCAAGAGAATAATTATTTTCTTTATTAAAAAAGAAATACTGGATGCTAAGTCCAAAAGACATAAATTATTTTATACTAATAACTACTAATATTTTATTCATTAAAATATAAAGGTCAAAGATTTCAAAATGATCTTTAAATGATTAATAACATGTTGATCTTTTTCTTCTTTCTGTAAACCTTTTTGAGTCTTAACAATACTAAACTATACAAGCAATATTAAATAGTATATAAACTTGGATTAAAATATTCAAATTTACTAGAATGTGGACATTGGAAAGAATGAAAATAAACAGAAGCATAAAGCAGCAGATATAAAATTAAGAAAGCAACTAAGAGTGTTTAAAGTACATATTCATCTGTAGTCTAATGTCTACCATAAACAATGACTCTTCTCAGTAAAACACAAATTGTTCATGAAGGGAAAAAGCATGTTGTATTAGAGAATATTCAACATAACTTTTTTAGTACTAACTTGTGCCTGGAGTATTATTGGTTTTTCTATTATGAACTTATTATGCACTTGATAATTTTTTTCATAAAGATTGTATGTACAACTCCATTCAAAAGCAGTTTTTGGTGGGTTTTCTTTTTTTGAGACAGAGGTTTGCTCTTTTCACCCAGGCTGGAGTGCAATGGTGTGAACTTGGCTCACAGCAACCTAGCAACTTTTGCCTCCCAGGTTCAGGTGATTCTCTTGCCTCAGCCTCCCGAGTGGTTAGGACAACAAGCATGTACCACCATGCCTGGCTAATTTTGTGTTTTTAGTAGAGACATGGTTTTGCCATGTTGACTAGGCTGGTCTTGAACTCCTGACCTGGGGTAATCCGCCCACCTTGGCCTCCCAAAGTGCAGGGTATGGGCAAGAGCCACCATACCCGGCCTCAAAAGCAGTTTTAAAAGCAAATAAAATATAACACCAAAGTTGAAAAATCCATGCTCACCCAAGGATGCCAGGTTTAATAAATTATTTATAGAATACTGCATCAAAAATAAGACAATAACCCAAAATATACCATTAAAGATGTATCCACTCCTACAACTAGAGATAATTAATCTATCTGGTAGCAAATGATACTTCAATCAGTTTCAGCATGTCTGAAATCTTTAAGGACAAAAGTGATAAAACATGACTTCATTCTTCATTAGACTCTTAGAACACTTGAAGGAAAATAATTTCTGAAGCACAAAGAGATAAGAGGTGTAATCTTTCAAAAAGATATTCAGTGTTCAAAATCCAAGAGTGCAATATCAGGCTGGGTGCGGTGGCTTATGCCTGTAATCCCAGCACTTTGGGAGGCCATGGTGGGTGGATCACCTGAGGTCAGGAGTTCGAGACCAGCCTGGACAACAGGGTGAAACTCTGACTGTACTAAAAATACAAAAATTAGACAGGCATGGTGGTGTGCACCTGTAGTTTTAGCTACTTGGGGGGCTGAGACAGGAGAATCGCTTGAACCTGGGAGGTGGAGGTTGCAGTGAACCCAGATCATGCCACCTCACTCCAGCATCAGTTACAGAATGAGATTCCATCTCAAAAAAAAAAAGAGTGTAATATCATATCGGTATACACAGATAATATACTGAATGAAACAAATAGAATAATTTGAAGAGGTATCTTGATGAACAAGGAGTCATTAGAAAGGTTGTATTCATGTCTTTGAAGGAAATTGCAATGTGAGAAATTAATACTTTGACTACTATACTAAAAGTTTATTGCTAACATCTACTGAGTTATTAACGTGTGTTAGGCAGAGTATCATATAATTTACAAGTGTTATCTCATTTATTGTAGGTAAAATGTAATTTCAAACTCTGGGAGTATAAATGAATTAGATAGAATAAAATTCTATTTAAATGGCCATCAGTAAATCGGTATCTAGGAACAGGGTGATACAGTGCCCAAGTTTTCTATTCTTACTAAATGTTGTGTTTCATTTTCAATGTTTTCTTGGATATTGCTCTTTTTTGGTGACTGATTTTTTTTTTATTTTAGAAAACTAATAAACTGACTCTTCTTGGTACTGACTCTTGGGTTTTATAGAAGAAAAAATAATTAAATTCTGTACATTTACCTTTACTTCATTTTTTTCTCTTTTAAATTTACTTTAATTGACATATAATAAATGTACATGCTATGGGGTACAGAGTGATATTTTGATATATTTATGCAATGCATAAAGATCAAGTCACAGTCATTATCATATCCACTACTTAAATCATGTATTATTTCTTTGCAGTGAGAATATTCAAAATCTTTTATTTTAGTTATTTGAAAACACACAATAAATTCCCATTAACTACAGTCACCCAACAGTGCTGTAGAGAACTAGAACTTCTTCCTTCTCTCCAGCTGTAATTTTGTATGTATTAACCACATTTTTCTTATACTCTTCTTTCTCCTACTCTTTCCAGGATATGGTAACCAAAACTCTACTATCTACTTCTACGAGTTTAAAAATTTTAGCTTCTATACATAAGTGAGAACACGTAGTTATGTGGTGTTTATGTTTCTATGCCAGGCTTATTTCACCTAACATAATGCCCTCCACTTGCATTCTTGTTGCCACAAATAACAGGATTTTGTTCTTTATTATGACTAAATAATATTCCATTATATATGTATGTCACATTTCTTTATCCATTCATCTGTTGATGGACACTTTTGTTGATTCCATATCTTGGCTATTGTGAATAGTGTTGTAATAAACATGCAGGTGCAGGTAACTCTTTGATATACTGATTTTGTTTCCTTTGGATATATACTGAAAATCATATGATTAAATTAATAAACACAATAAAAGCGTTTGGCAAAATTAAATATCCTTACATGACAAAAAACCTCTCAACAATTTAGTATAGAAAATATATGCCTTAACACAAAGGACATAAAGGACTAATCTACAGCTAAGATCATACTGAGTGTGGAAAAGGTGAAAGATTTTACTGTGAACAAGAAAAAGATTTTATTGTAACAAGAAAAGGATGCCTATTTTCATCAATCATATTTCACATAGTGAAAGTCTTAGCCAGGACAATTAGGTGAGAGAAAGAAATAAAGGACATCTGATTTGGAAAGGAGACAGTCAAATTGTCCCTGTTTAAAGACAATGTGATCTTATACACGGAAAAAAATAAGATGCTACCAAAAGCTTCTTAGGGTGATACATGAAATTAATAAAGTTGCAGGATATAAATAAACATACAAAAATCAGTAGCATTTCTATATATTGATAGTAAACTAGCTGAAACAAGAAATTAAGAAAGCAATTCCTTTTACAATAGCTACAAAAATGTACTTAGAAATAAATTTAAGCAAGGAAGTAAAAGATTTCTACAACAAAAATGACAAATATTAATGAAAGAAATTAAAGAAAACACAAAAAAGGAAAGACATCCATGTTTATAGATTGAAATAACTAATATTCTTAAAATGACCCACTATCCTATGTGATTTACAAATTTAGTACAATCACTAGCTTGTATTTTTAAAAGCACCTTTGCTACATATTCTTAAGATATTCAATGACAATGCCTGGATTTAAGTTTGAGGTATTATTATATCTATTTTATATTGGGCACAATATAATGTTATCAGAGGTAATGGTTTTGATTGGTCCTAGGTCATACAGTAATATATACAGTTTGATTTATAGACATGCTGCCTTTTAATACTCAGGCATTTAGAAAGTTCATTTAGACAAAGTTATAAAAACTTGCCTTCCTTTCTGCCTATATCACCTAAAAATCCTAATTTAAGAGGTAATAACATTTTTTATTTGATATACAATTTATCAACACAATAAAAATCTAACAATTATCATGTGCAGAGTGTGAAAATCTCATCAGATTAAGGAACACAAAGACATCTTTTTCATATTTCGAATGTAAAACTCTTTTGGAAACTGTTATTTTTAGAAACAGTTAAAAACATTTTTTCACTAGTTTTTCATGTAAAATTGTGACAACCAGCATGAAATAACTGTCATCACAGAAGCATGGTATATTCGATTCCAAAACATATTCTTAGTAAGTTTTAATATATTTATGTATTATTTATACTTAGATTGTAACCAATAATGTAGATATTATTTTTCCTTCAACTCTTAAGAATATTCTTAAATAATAAAATTAAAATGAATTATAATTTTTGTTGGTTGGGAAAAAGAATAGACACACACGTGACAGTGCATCACTTCACCTCATCATTTCATCTCATCATTTCATCTCATTTCATCATTTCATCTCATTTTATCTCATCTCATCATATCATCTCATCATTTCATCTCATCATTTCATCAAATCTCATCTCATTTCCATTTCATTTTCATTATTTCATTGCATCATTTCATTTCACTATTTCATTTCATTTCATCTAATTTCATTTATTTCATTACGTCACTTCATATCATCTCATTTCATTTCATCTCATCATTTTTCATATCATTTTTCATCTCATCATTTCATCTCAATTCATTTCATCTCATCATTTCCTCCTTTCATTTCAACATTTCATCTCATCATTTCTTCTCATCTCATTTCAATTTCATTTCATTATTTCATTTCATCTCATTTCATTATTTCACCTAATTTCATTATTTCATCTCATCTCATCTCAATTCATCTCATTTCATCTCATCATTTCATCTCATCATTTTTCAACTCATTTAATCTCATTTCATTTTGTCTCATCATTTCAGCTCATCATTTCATCTCACCACATCTCTTCATTTCATCATTTCATTTCAACATTTCATCATTTCATCTTATCATTTCATCTCATCTCATCTTTCAATTTCATTTCAATATCATTTCATTTCATCATTTCATTTCATCTCATTTCATTATTTCATTATTTCATTTCATCTCATTTCAATTCATCTCATCATTTCATCTCATCATTTTTCATCTCGTCATTTCATCTCGTCATTTCATCTCATCTCATCATTTCCATTTCATTTCCATTTCATCATTTCATCATTTAATTTCATCATCTCTTTTAATTTCACCTCATTTCATTTTTTCATTTCATTATGTCATTTCATTTCATCTCATTACATTGCATCTAATTTCATTTCATCTCATCATTTCATTTCATTTCTTGTCATCATTTCATCTCATCTTTTCATCTCATCATTTCATCAACTCATTTCATCTTATCGCATCATTTCATTTCATCTCATCATTTCATCTCCTCATATCTTCTCATCTCATTTCAATTTCATTTCATTATTTCATTTCATTATTTCATGTCATGTCATCTCATCATTTCATCTCATCACATCTCATCATTTCATCATTTTATTTCATCATTTCATCTTATCATTTCATCTCATTTCATCTTATCATTTCATCTCATCATTTCATCTCATCTCATTTCAATTTTATTTCAATTTCATTTCATTTCATTTCATTATTTCATTTCATTTCATCTCATTATTTCATTATTTCATTTCATTTCATTTCATCTCATCATTTCATCTCATCATTTCGTCATCTCATCTCATCATTTCATCTCATCATTCATATCATTTCATATCATCATTTCATATCATCATTTTATGTCACCATTTCATTTCATCTCATCTCATCATTTCATCTCATTTCATCTCATCTCGTTTCATAATTACATCTTATTTCATCTCATCTTATGTCATTTCATGTCATCATTTCATCACATCTCGTCTCATCTCATCTTTTCATCTCATCATTTCAACTCATTGCATCTCATCTCATCATTTCCATTTCATTATTCCATTTCATCATTTCATTTCATTATTTTATTTCATTATGTCATTTCATCTCAACACATTTCATCTCATCTCATCATTTCATCTCATTTCATCTCATTATTTCAACTGATTTCATGTCATCATATCATGTCATCATTTCATCACATCTCATCTCATCATTTAAACTCATCATTTAATCTCATTTCATCTCATCTCATCATTTCATCGTTTCATCTCATCATTTCTTCTCATCCCATCATTGCCATTTCATTATGTCATCATTTCATTTCATCATTTCATTATTGCATTTCATCTCATTTCATTATTGCATTTCATTATGTCATTTCATTTCATCTCATTTCATTACATCTCATTTCATCTCATTTCATTTCATCTCATTTCATCTCATCATTTCATCTCATCTCATCTCATTTCATCTCATCATTTCATCTCATTTCATCTCATCTCATTTCATCATTTCATCTCATCTCATTTCAATTTCATCATTACATTTCATAATTTCCTTTCATTATTTCATTTCATCTCATTTCATTATTTCATCTCATTTCATCTCATTTTTCATCTCATCATTTTTATCTCATTTCATCTCATCATTTCATCTTATCATCTCATCTCATTTCATCATTTCATCTTATTGTTCATCTCATTTCATCTCATCATTTTATCTCATTATATCATCTCATCTTATCTCATTTCAATTTCATTATTTCATATCATTTCATTTCATTATTTCATTTTATTTCATCTCATCATTTCTTCTCATCATTTCATCTAGTTTCATCTCATCATTTCATCCATCATCTCATCTCATCTCCTTTCAATTTTGTCATTTTATCTCATCATTTCATCTCGTCATTTCTACTCACCATTTCATCTCAAAATTTCATCTCATCATTTCATCATTTCATCATTTCATCTCATCATTTCATCTCATCTCAAGTCATCTTATCATTTCATCTAAGTGAAATGATGTAATGGAATCATGAAATGAAATGGATAGGAAGCCCTCAGTGATGTTAAATTTAAAAATTGTTTGTTTTCATGTATTCATTTTTATATTTATATGTATTTATATTTATATTTACTTATATTTCTTTTTACTTATTTTTAATTATATTTTTTACTTATTTATTTATAGACAAGGTCCTGTTCTGTGGCCTAGGCTGGAATGCAGTGGTGCATTCACAGTTCATTGCAACCTCGAGCAAACCTCCCACCTTAGCCTCCCAGGTAGCTGGGACCCCAGGTGCGCACCACCACAGCTGGCTAATATTTTATTATTAGTAGAGACGGAGTCTTGCTATGCTGCCCAGGCTGGTCTCAAAATCCTGGGCTCAAGCAATCCTCCTGCCCTGGCAACCCAAAATGCTGGGATTACAGATATGAGCCACAGTGCCCAACCTATTTATTTATTTATTTATTTATTTATTTATTTATTTATTTAATAAAGAAAAGGTCTCACTATGTTGCCCACGCTGGTCAATTCCTGGACTCAAATGATTCTTCAAACTTGGCCTCTCAAAATGTTGGGATTACAGGTATGAGCCACCATGCCTGGCCTAAAAATAGTATTATATTTTTACATTATATAATTTTCAATTAGGTAATATGAATATTCTGTACAGGAAATATGCCCTTAATTACATAGGAATAAACATTTGTTATACTGAGAAAAATCTAATAGAGCTAAAAATAAAAATTAATTTGGAGAGGTCATTAGATACTCATACATTCTTACGTTTATACATTCTTTCATATATTCATATATTCTTTTAACAGTATCAATGGTTTAGAGTTATGTGTACAAAACCATGACCTATATGTAATACAACTAATAACAAGCACTTACAATTCAAGGCATATTATATACAAAGCTTTAACTTCTCATGATCAGATTTTGTTTTTTTTCTTTCTGTTTTGGCAGATACTATGAACACAACATTAAACTCACAGACACTATGAAGCCTTTACTAAGAACAAAGTACTGTGAAAGGCCAGGGCTAGGACAGAACTGAGACAGGGCCAGGGATAGAACAGAACCGGGGCAGGGTCATGGCCAGAGAAAAACCAGGGGCAGGGTCACAGCCAGGGACATGAGAGGACAAAGGCCAGGGCCAGAAGTAGGGCAGAACCAGGGCCAGGGCAGGGACATGACAGGGCCAGGGCCATGGCAGGATCAGGGCCAGCAGAAGGCCAGGGCAGGGCTAGGGTAGCACAGGGCCAAGGCAGGGCAGGGTCAGTGTAGAGCAAGGAATGGGCCAGGGTACGGCAGGGCAGGGACAGGGAGGTCCAGGGCCAGAGTCAGGTCCAGAACATGGACAGGGCAGGGCCAGAAATATGGCAGAACCAGAAAGGGGACAGGGAAAGGACAAGGCCAGAGAAGGACCACGGTAAAAACATGGTCAGGGAGGGTCCAGGGCAAGGGCAAGGCCAGGGCAGAACCAGAGCCAGGGCAGGCCAAAGGCAGGGCCAGGGCAGGGCAACGCCATGGTAGGGCAGGGCCAGTGTAGGGTGAGGGTAGGGCCAGGGTGAGTTCAGGGCCAGGGCAGGACTAAGATAGCACAGGGCCAAGGCCAAGGCCCTGTACTAAGATAGCACAGGGCCAGGGCAGGGCCAAAGGAGGGGCCAGGGACAAGCATGGCCAGTGTGGGTCCTAGGGATTGTCAGGGCCAGGGCCAGGGTCAAGGCTGAGCCAGGGACAGGGCCAGAGCAAGGACAGGGCCAGGGAGAAGGCAGAACCAGAGAGGATCTAGAGAAACAGCAGGGCCAGGGCAGAACCAGGACCAGGATAAGGCAAAGCCGAGGCCAGGGCAGGGCAAGGCCAGGGCAGGGCAAGACCAGGGAAGGGCAAGGCCAGGGTAGAAAAGGCCAGTGTACAGCCAGGCCAGGGTAGGAAAAGGCCATGGTAGGGCCAAGGCCAAGGCGGGGCAGGGCTAAGATAGCACAGGGCATGGCCAAAAACAAGGCAGGGCCATAGCAGTGGCAAAACTAGCAACAGGGCCAGGGTAAGCGCTGGACCAGAGAATGGTGGGGACAATACAGGGCCAAGACAGATGATGGCAAGGCAGGTCCAAGGTCATTTCATGGACTCGATAGGCCTGGGGTCAGGCCAGGGCAGGGAAAGGGCAAGGCCAGGGAGAAGGCAGGGCCGGGGTCAAGGCACTGCCAGGGCAGGGCAGGACCAGTGCAGGGTGAGGGCAAGGCCAGGGCATGGAAGGGCAGGGCAGGACCAAGGAAGGGCCAGGAGAGTGCCACAGCAGGGTCAAGGCCAGAACAAGGGTACGACTGGGGTCAGGAATATGGTAGGGCAAGGGCTGGGCCCTGGCTGGGACACACAGGGCAGAGCATGGCCTGTGCAAGGCAGGGCCAGAGCCAGGCCATAGAGATGGGAGGGCAACTCCAAGGCAGAGTCAGGGTAGATCCAGAGCTGAGCAGAGTCAGGGCGGGTTCAGAATTGAGGCAGAGCTACGGCCCAAGCAGGGCCATGGCAGCACCAGGGCAGGGGAGGGCAGGGCAATGCAGGGCTGGGCCATGGCAGTGTCTGGTCAACTCCGGGGCAGGGCCAGAAGCAGGACAGGGCCAGAGTCAATGCTCAGGCCAGGGACAGGGCATGACAGGAAGTGCCAGACCAGGGCTGGGCCAATGTAGAGGCAGGGCAAATCAGACCAGGACACCTCCAAGTCCAGCTCTAGCCCTGCCTTGGCCCTGGCCCCTTCCTGACCTGACCTTGTCCCTGGCCCTGCCCTATCCATGCCCTATGTGTTTGACCAGTGTTTTATAACCAGAATCCTACAAGAAACTTAAATCAGCTCTTTTTGTGCATTTTTAGTAGAGATGGGGTTTCACAATGTTGCCCAGGCTGGTTCCAAACTCCTGAGCTCAAGCCATCTGCCTGCCTTGGCCTCCCAAAGTGCTGGGATTACAGGAGTAATCTGGCCAAGTATTTAACTTCTTTATGGCTGTTTCCTACATTTGGAAAATGGGGATGCTTTAAGTACCTAGCACATAGAATTATTGTGAGAATCAATGCCTCACATATTTACATATTGATAAAATTATACTCATAGAACAGTACTGGAAGCAGAGATAGTATTAGTTAAAATTTAGTGATTATTTACTGTAAATATTATTACTATTACAAACAACATAGTAGAGACATTATTACCACTACTATAGTTATCTTAAAAATCAAAAATAAAAATTTTACGTAATAGCCTAATGTAAGCTCCCCTGCTCTGCCCGGCTCAGCCCTAGTGCCGGCTCCGCCCCTAGTCCTACCACATCCCTGGCCCTGACCCTTCCCTGGTCCTGCCGCTGCCCTGGCCCTTCCCATCTTCAGGCCTTACCATGGCCCTACCCTGGTCCTGACCCTGGCCCTACCCCAGAGAAGGGGTATGGCAGAGCCAGGGAAGGGTCGGGGCAAATAAGGGACACGACACATCCAAATCCAGGAAAAGGCCAGGGACATGACAGAGCCAGGGCGAGTCCTTGGCAGGTCCAGGTTCCAGGCCAGGGCCAGGAAAGGGTCATGGCAGGGTCACTGTATGGCCTAGGTCCAGGCCAAAGCGAAGGCAGGGGCAGGGTCAGGCCTGCATAAGGGCTGGACGAGAGCCAGTGATATGGCAGGGCCAGGGCCAGGGCCAGGGCCAGGGCTGTGTCAGGACAGAACAAGAGCAGAGCAGGGCAGGACCAGAGCCAGGCCATAGAGAGAGTAGGGCAAATGCCAAGGCAAGGCCAGTGTAGTGCCAGGGCTGAGGCAAGGTCAGGGAATGTCCAGGGCTGAGTCAAGGCTGGAACAAAGACAGGGCAAAGGCCGGGGCAGATCTAGGGCACAAGCAGGGCAGGTTAGGGCAGGGCAATGGCAAGACCAGGCCATGGCAGGGCCAGCCCAGGATAGAACAGGGCACAGGCAGGGCAGGGCCAGGGCCACGCCTGGGGCAGGACAAGGACCAGGACCGGGGTCCAGGCCAGGGCAAGGGTATGGCCAGGACAGAGGTAGGGCCAGAACCAGGGTCTGGGCAGGACCAAGGAGGGTCCATTGCAGGGCCAGGGTTGAGACCAGGGCCAGAGCAGGGCTGTGACAGCGCCAGGGCCAGGACCAGGAAAGGGCAATGTCAGGATAAGAGCCATGGCCGAACCAGCAACCAGGCTAGGGCCAGGACAGGGACAGGGACAGGGACAGGGTCAGGGCTAGGGCCAGAATAGCATGCCAGGGTAGAGCCAGGCCAAATTAGGGCCAGGACAGGGTGAGGACCAGGGCTGGGTCAGGGTATGGCCTTAAGTAGTGAAGGGCCAGGGCCAGGGTCCATGCCAGTGCCAGCACCGGTCCAGGGCAGAGGCAGGGCCATGGCCAGGCCAAGGACAAGGCTGGGGCAGGGCCAAGGTCTGGGTCAGGGTCAGCACAAGACCAGGACAGAGCCAGGGGAGGGACAGGGCCATGGTAGGGCCAGGTTAAATCAGGGACAAGACACCTGCAAATCCACTTCAGGGCCAGGGTCAGGGCAGGGCCAGTTCAGGGCCAGGACTAAGACAGGGCCAGGGCCAGGGCTGTCAGGGTCATTGGCAGGGCCAGGGCCATGGCAGGACCAGGGTCAGGAGCAGGGGTCAATGCCAGGCCAAACCACAGATAGGACCAGTTCTGTGCTAGGGCCAGTGTGAGGGCCAAGGTGGGATCAGGGCAGGGCCAAACGGAGGGCAGGGCAAGGGCAGGGTGGAGCAGGCCCAGGGTAGAACAGGGTTAAGGTAGGGCACGACCAACCAGGGCAGGTCTATGGCTGGGGCCGGGGCAGGGCAAGGGCTGGGGCAGGGCCAGAGCCAGGGCAGGGCAAAGACAGTGGCAGCTCCAGGGCAGGGCCAGGGTTAGGACCACGGATATGTCCAAGGCCAGTGCCAGGGCAAGGACAAGGGCAGGGACAGGGCCAGGGTCATCTAAGAACCAGGGACAAAGCCAGGCCCAGAGCAGGGCCAGGACAGGTACCTGGCAGGGCTAGGGTCTGGGACAGGGCCATGGCAGGGCCAGGGCCACAACCAGGTCTGTGCTATGGCCAGGTCCAACACAGTGCCCAGGTAAGGCTAGGGTGAAGGCCAAGGTAGGGCCAGGGCAGGGTCAAAGCCAGGCTAGGGCCAAGGCAGGACCAGGGCCGGCAAGGCAGGGCCAGGAAAGCATAGGGCCAAGGCAGGGAAGGGCCAGGCCAGTGCCAAGACCTGGGCAGGGCCAGGGAACAGCCAGGGCAGGGCCAGGGCCAGGGCCTGGGCAGGACCAGGTTTGGGGCAGGAGCAAAACAAGGACAAGGACAGTGCAGGATCTTGGCACAGCCAGGGTCCAGGACAGTGTCAGGGCAGGGCCAAGGCAGGGTCAGGGGCATGGTAAGACCAGCAACAGGGCTGGGGCTAGGCCAGTGACAGGACCAGAGTCAGGGCAAGGGCCAGAGCAGTGCAAGGCCAGGGTAGGGCCAGGCATTTCAGGGTCAGGGCCAGGGGAGAACCAGGGCATTGTCTCAAGCAGGGAAGGGCCAGGGCCAGGACAGGTCCAGGGCAGGGCCATGACAGGGCCAGGGGCTGCGTTAGGGCAAGGGCAGGGCCAGAGCAAGGTATGGGTCAGGGCCAAGGCCAGGGTAGGGACAGGGCAAGAAATATGGCATGACCAGGGGTAATGCCAAGGCCAAGGCTGGGCCAGGGCTGGGCCAGGGCTGAGTCAGGGCAGGGCAGGGCAGGGCATGGTATGGCCAGTGCAGGACAGGACAAGAGCCGGTCCACAGAGAGCAGGGCTGATGCCAAGAAAGAGCCAGGCTAGTGCCAAGGCTGAGACAGAGTCAGAGCATGTCCGGGGCAGGGCTGGGGCCAGGGCCAGAACTGAGCCAGGGCACAGCCAAGGCAGGGTAGGGCAGGGAAATTACATGGCCGGGTCAGTACTGGGACAGGGCAGAGCAGGGCAAGGCGATGGTAGGGGCAGGGCAGGGACAGGCCAATGCAGAGCCATGTTATGCCGGGGCCAGGACACCTCCAAGTCCACTTCAGGGCCAGAGCTATGGCAGGACAAAGACCAGGGCCAGGGTCAGGGCCAGGTCTGTGCTAGGGCCAGCTCCAGAGCAGGGCCTAGTGAAGACTAGGGTGAGGGCCAAGGTAAGGCCAGGGCAGGGTCAAAGACAGAGTAGGGCCAGGGCAGGGTGATGACACATGCAGAGAACAGCAGGGCAGGGTGATGGCAAGACCAGGGGCAGACCACTGCCAGCTCAGGGCCAGGGAAAGGCCAGTGCAGAGCCAGGAAAGGGTCAGGGCCAGGAACAAGGCAGAGCAGGGCCAGGGCCATGGCAGAGTCAGGGCAGGTCCTTGACAGGACCAGGTTCCAGGCCAGGGCCAGGGCAGCAGCAGGGGCAGGGCCTGGATAAGGGCAGGGCCAGGGATATGGCAGGACCAGGGCTAGGGCCAGGGCCAGGCCAAAGTGAGGGCAGGGCAAAAGTCGAGGCAGGGTCTGGGCAGGTCCAGGGAGCGGCCAGCACCAAGCGGGGCCAAGGCACAACCATCGCAGCGTAAGGCAGGGCAATGGCACCACTGGGCCATGACAGGGCAAGGTCAGTGCCAGGAGAGGGCAGAACAGGCAGGCCTATGGTGGGGCCAGGGCAGGGATGGGCCAAAGCAAGACCAGGACATGTCCAAGACCAGGTCAGGGCCAGAACAGGAGTAGGACCATGACCACTGGCAGGGCCAGTGCCATGACATGACCAGGGTCAGGACAAGGGGCAGGGCCAGAGCCAGGGCCAGAGCCAAGGTCAGGCCAGTGCAGGTTCAGGGCAGGGCCACTGCCAGGGCAAGACCAGGGCAGGGACACGGTAGCACAGGGCCAAGACAGGGTCAGGATGGGACCAGAGCAGGACAGGGCCAAGACAGTCCAGGTAACAGTAGGGCAGTTACAGCGCAAGAAAGGACAAAGCCAGGCCCATTGCCAATGCACCAGCCCTCCCTACAAGGCTCCTACCACCTGGCCACTGTTGCAGCTCGTCCATCACTGTAAGCCTGATCCCCAACCCTGGCTGCAGCCGCCTGCCCTCCTAGCACGACCGCTCTCCTACCGCTCTGGCGCACTGCAGTCTCCATCGCTGCCACCCTCCCGCAGCGAGGCGAGTCGTGGTGTCGCAGGCTCTAGGTGTCTCCTCCTCCTCCTGGCATGGAGCAGCTGGGCGGGCAAAGCCAGAAAAGCCTAGAGGAAGATGTGAGGGGTGGAAGGGTTAGAGCCTCAACTTGTCATGCTGGCCACTGGGTGGCAGGGGCCAGTTTCAACAAAGGCACTCACACCCACCCTCCAAAGTCCAGCCTCTCCTTTTGGCCCAAGCTCTCCGGGAACTGGGGTCTGGGGTGGGTGCTGGAGACACCACAGCACCCAGCTCCCCACTCCACAGGAACCATTGGGCCCACCAGGGCTGCACTCCTCAGGGAGCAGGAGAAGCAGAAAAATTCACACCCAGCCAGCCCTCCGCACCCAGGTGCCAATTCCTGTTCCGGATGCCTCCACACACAGGGCCCTGTCCCCCATGGTGTCTCCAGGGGTGCCTGGCAGCCTCTGAGGCACAGACCCAGAGTGCACAGGCCCAGGAACCATGGTGGGTGTGGGGGCTCTGTCATGCTCAGGATTCCCACGCAAACACTGCACGCCTGCCACACTCCAGTATGACCAAGAGTTGGTCGCCCTCTGGAGTGTGGAGTCAGGGAGAGGAGAACCACTCCTTCCTTGGATGCCAACTCTGCTGACCGCCGCCAGCAGTGCAGTCCCTGATAGCAACGAACTCGCCCGCCCTTCACGGCTAGTCCTGCCCTCAATAGCGCCCCCCACCTCCGTCCCCCAATGCCACAAATAGCGTATACCCAATAGTGCCCTAACCTGTCCTACTCTATGGGCATTGCAGCCCCAGAAAGTGCCCATAACCCACCCTCCCTGCCATAGGCAGTGCAGCCCTGTACAGTGCTACCAACCAGTAGCCATAATGCAGGCAATGACACCCTGGATAGCGCCCCCAACCCACCCCACACTGCGAAAGGTGCAGCCCTGGATAGCCCCTGTCCTACCACTCTGGTCGTGCTGCAGTCTCTGTCACTGCCACCACCAACCACAGTGAGGCAAGCCAGTGGGCCACAGGCTCTAGCACCCAGCAGGCCAGGCACGAAGCAGCTCTCGCCGATGGCTGGCTCCTACCACTCTGACCACGCTGCTGTCTCTGTGGCCATCTTCTTTGACTACAAAGGAATAAAACTAGGTATCAATAAGAAGAGTAATTTTGGAAACAATACAATCACATGGAAGTTAAACACTACCCTCCTGAATAAATGACTAGCGGGTCAATGAAGATATTAAGACAGAAATTCAAAAATTTCATGAAACAAAGGGTAAAGAAAACACAGTATACCAAAACTTGTTACGCAGAAAGCAGTACAAAGGCGGAGATTTACAGCTATAAGTGCATACCATCCAAACAAAAGAAAAACTTCAAGTAAACAATACATCTTAAAGAACTAGTAAAATAAGAACAAACTAAACCGAAAATAAGAAAATAAATAAGATCGTAGCAGAAATAAAATTGAAAGAAAAAACACACAAGATTAAATGAAAAGTTGGTTTTCTGGAAAGCAAAACAAAATTGACAAACTTTTAACCAGGCTAACTAAGAAAAAAGAGACAAGATTCAAATAAATAAAATCAACAGATAAAAAAGAGACATTACAACTAATAGTTCAGAAATTCAAAGGATCATAACTGGCTATTATATGCCAATAAATTGGAAAGCCTAGTAGAAATTGGCAAATTCCTAGATGCATACAACCTACTTAGGTTGAACAATGAAAACATCCAAGACCAGAACAGATCGGTAACAAGTAATGAGATTGAAGCCATCAGAAAAAGTCTCCCAGTAAAGAAAAGCCCAGGAACTGATGTCTTCACTGCTGATGGCTTCACACCAAACAGTTTAAAGACCTAGTACGAATCCTACTGCAACTATTTTGAAAAACAGGAGGGAATACTTCCAAACTTATTCTATGAGACCATTATTACTTTGATACCAAAATCAGACAAAGGCATCAAAGAAGGAAACTACAGGCCAGTATCTCTAATATTGATGCAAAAATCCTCAACAAAATACCAGTGAATCAAATTCAGTAATACATTAAAAAGATAATTCATCATGATCAAATGGGATGTATCCCTGGGATGCATGGGTCACTTAACATACAATGTGATACATCATATCAACCAAATAAATGACAAAAACAGTATGATCATGTCAACTGAAACTGAAAAAGTATTTGATAAAATTCAACATCCCTTCATGCTATTAATCCTTAAAGAAACAGGTACAGAAGAAACATACCACAACATAATAAAAACTACAGGAAAGACACCCACAACTAGAATCATATGGAGTGAGGTCCAGGCTGCATTGAGTTGTGATCCCACCACTGCACTCCAGCCTGGGCAACAGAGTGAAACACTGTCTCAAAAAAAAAAAATACGTAAAAAGAGGTATGAGCCTCTTTTATAGGTGCAGTGACTCACAACTGTAATCCCAACACTTTCTGGGAGGCTGAGGTGAGAGGATCTTTTGAGGCCAGGAGTTCAAGGTCAGCCTGGGCAACATAGTGAGACCCTTTATCTACAAAAAAAATTTTAAATATTTGCCAGGTGTGGTGGCACGTGCCTGTAGTTTTAAACAATTATCATATGACCCAGATAGTGTATTCCTTAGTGATACAACCAAGGGAAATGAAAATATACATCCACACTAAAATTTGTACACAAATGTTCACAGCAGCATTGTGCATAATAGCCAAAAATTGGAAAAAAAGCTCAAGTGCTTATCAACAGAGGAACTGATAAAATATGGTACATCCATTCAAAAGATTACTCAGCATTAAAAAAATGAAGTGCTGATATACGCTACAGCATGGATAAACCTTGAAAACACTGTGCCAAGTGAAATAAGTCAATCACAAAAGACCATATGTAGTAAGATTTCATTCTGTGAAACCTCCAGAAGAGCTAAACTCAGAGACAGAAAGTAGGCTAGTTATTGCCAGGGACTAGGGGAAAAGGGAACAAGGATGACTGCTAATGGGTATGAGGTTTCTTGTGGACTGATGAAAATGGTCTGAAAGTATCTAGATACCTGTCTTGTTTGTGTGATTCTGTGAACATATTATAAACCACAAAATTCTGCACTCAAGGGGTTGATTTCATGGTAGGTGAATTTAGCTCATTTATCTTTATCTCAATAAAGCTTTTAAAGACACTTTAAAAAGACATATCTGTATAAGCTACAAAAATAACACACTGAGAGACTAAAATGCTTAATTTTTCCATTTTTCTTCTTCAGCACAATCTCAAGTCCAAAAGTCTTTCCTTCCTATATATGCATATTTTGTCCAGTGAAACAAGAAACTCTATTAATTTTTTATTAGAAATAAAAAAAAACCAGGTGTGCTGGCTCACAGCTGTGCTTCCAGCTACTCTGAATGCCGAGGCAGAAGGATCACTTGAGGCCAAGACTGGGAGTTCAAGACAAGCTGAGGCAACATAGCTAGATCCTGTCTTTAAAAATATTTTTTAGGCCAGGCACTGTGGCTCATGCCTGTAATCCCAGCACTTTGGGAGGCCAAGGAGGGCAGATCATTTGAGATCAGGAGTTCAAAACCAGCCTGGATAACATGGTGAAACCCCATCTCTACTAAAAATATAAAAATTAGCCAGGTGTGGTGGTGGGCACCTGTAGTCACAGCTACTTGGGAGGCTAAGGCAGGAGAATTGCTTGAGCCGGGAGGGTGGAGGCTGCAGTGAGGCCAAGATCATGCCATTGCACTCCAGCCTGGGTGACAGAGCAAGACTCCATCTCAGGAAAAAAAAAATATATATATATATATATACGTATATATATATATATACGTATATATATATGTGTATATATATATATGTGTATATATATACATATATATATATACACATATATGTATATATATACACATATATTTTTTTAAGTTAAAACCCTACTGAAATGAAACTAATAAAATAAAATTCAACTTAATTAAAAAATAGTTCCTGAAATATTAATTTTCAAACAATTCTATTTTAGCTTTGACTCTGAACAAAATATAAACCTCAATTTCAAAATATCACAAAGATTGGCTAGGGGCAGTGGCTCATGCCTGTAATTCCAGCACTTTGGGAGGACAAGGCAGGTGGATCACTAGAGGCCAGGAGTTCCAGAGCAGCCTGGCCAACATAGGGAAACCCAGTCTCTACTAAAAAAATACAACAAAAATTAGCCGGGTCTAGTAACCCCAGCTACTCAGGAGGCTGAGGCATTAGAATCGCTGGAATCTGGGAGGTGGAGGTTGCAGTGAGTGGAGATCATGCCACAGCACTCCAACCTGGGCGACAGACTGAGACTCTGTCTCAAAAAAATAAAAATAAGGCCAGGTGCCGTGGCTCACGCCTGTAATCCCAGCACTTTGGGAGGCCAAGGTGGGCAGATCACTTGAGGTCAAGGAGTTTGGGACCAGCCTGGGCAACACAGAGAAACCTCCTCTCTACTAAAAATACATAAATTAGCTGGGCGTGGTGGCACACACTTGTAATGCCAGCTACACCAGTGGCTGAGGCTGGGGAATTGCTTGAATTCGGGAGGTGGAGGTTGTAGTGACCTGAGATTGTGCTACTGCACTACAGCCTGGATGACAGAGTGAGACTCCATCTCAAAAAAAAAAAGAAAAAAAAAGAAAACTTATATTTAAAGTTTAAAAAAATCACAAAGACTACAAATACTCAGGTTTAAGCAAATTCCCACCTTTCTTGAATTAACAGTAATTCATATTTGCTTTGTCAAAAATGTAGATATTTACGTGCCCCAACGGAATGAAATCCTAAAAGCCTAGTGTTCTCAAATGATGAAGAGAAAGAAACATGCATATTTTAATTTAGAATTTTGATTCAGAATTAATTTTAACCTAGCTGGAGTATACATAATCATTTATGTATTTATTTACTTATTTAAGAGACTGGGTTTCGCTGTGTTATCCAGGCTGGAATGCAGTGGCACAACTTTGGCTCACTGCAACTTGTACTTCCTGAGCTCAAGCGATCCTCCCACCACAGCCTCCAGAGTAGCTGGGACTGCAAATGCACGCTACCACACTCAGCTAATTTTTGCGGAGACGAGCCTCGCTATATTTCCCACACTGGCCTCTAACTCCTTGGCTCACTACAGCCTCAAGCCCCTGGCCTCAAGCAATCTGCCTCCCAAAGTGCTGAGATTACAGGAGTGAGCCACCTCAACCGGCCTAGTGGATAGTGTATACTAAGCAACATATACCCTGCTTTTGCCTAGAACATACTGAAAACATGGCATTAAAAACAATCACAAAAGTTGGGAGCTGAGAAAAATCATATACTGTAAAACAAACCTGACAGATATTAGTCTCAAGAAGCTCCTGAAAATGTCTCAAGAACTCCTATGCTGCACTCTCCCTAATAATTTAGACTTTCTACAGATATTTTATGATCATCTACCGTGTGCCAGGCACCATGCCAGGTACCAAGATGCCATGGTGAGGTATACACAAAACCGGCTCTTGCATGCAGGAAGCCTACTCTCTAAAACAGTGCTTGCCAAGCTCGACTGATCACAACTTGGGAGCTTAAGTTCCAAATCGGCTTCCCTGCTTTGGTGAGCCACAATCCGTGGCATTTTTATCAGGTGCTCCCAATGATTCCTACACTCTAACGGGTTTGGGAGGCAAGGGTAGGGGTAAGCTGGAGAGCCCAGAGCCATTCTGTCCAGCGGGAGCCCCACCTCTAAAGTCCATGTCGCTCAGCATCCTTCCCCCTGACTAGTGGCCCAAACACAGCACGAAGCTGAGGTGGGTGGAACGCTTTCCAAAACAGCTCTCTGTGATGAGCCACTGACAGACTTGCTCGCCTCCGGGGACGAAGAGCTCACCCCTCACAAACCCCACCCGGGAAAAGTAGCACCTGAGCCTCCGAGGCTGCGCCGACACCTGTCTCCCCGCAGGTGCCGCCTACTGCTCTGGTGGACTCCAGTCCCCAGGTTCTGCCCCACGGGGACTGGGGGGAGGGGGGAGGCGCTGCGCGCATTAGGCGCCGACTGTATACCGACCCCCCCTCCGGTGTGCGCAGGCCAACACCCATACACACCCTCACACACCCACACACACCCACACACACTCCCGTGGAAACTGAGGCAGGCAGGCAGCAGACCAGGTCCTGCCGCCTGACGGCTCGCAGCTGGGATCGAACCCGGACTGCGAGACGCCTTCTGCCTCACAGGCACTCCTCAGCCGCTGAGGCCTGGCCCGGCTCCCACCGCCGGAGTTTCACAAAGAAAGTCTCCTGGCCCGAGCCCCTCAAGCACTCACCGGCGCCGACGTCGGCGGCGACTCGGGCTCCCGCTGCCTTCAGCTCCTTGCGGGGGTCGGCCCTTGGGTCGGCTCGGGCGCCGGAGGCGGCGACTGCCCCATATCCACGGGGTCCGGGCCGCGTCCGCCTCGAGCTAATGGTCCCGCCAACTAGGCGCGTGCACCAGTTCCATGCGCCATGTTCCCGCCGTGCTGCGTGCCGCCGCGGCGACCCTCACTGCCCCCCAACCGCGTGCGCCCCCCCGCTCCCCGCGCACCCCGCCTCGCGCCCTCTGGAGCTGGCTGCTGTTCCCAGTGTCTCGCCCACCCCGCCAGGCCTGTCCGACTTGGCGGGTGAACGCGTGGTTCCCGGCTCCGAACTGCCGCCTGCATCTCTGCAGACCACCCCGGACCGGACCCCTCGGCCACTTCCCCACACTGCCCCTTTCGCTTCCCCCACAACGCGGAGCCTAGGACGAGGGTCTGGGCCAACAGGAACTTCCCTGCAAGAAGTGCCGAGCTAAGGACGCTACTAAGGGGGCGGGATCGCCACCGTGGAAGTGTGCAAGCACGTGCCTGCATCCCAGAGACAGACAGACTCAACGGAGAAGCTGAGTTCAAGTCCCACAACTCCACTAACCCTTGCGTGTTATGGTCAGGGCTTCGGGACTTGTTTCTCCTAAATCTTTTTTTTTTTTTTTTTTTGAGACAGTCTCGCTCTGTCACCCAGGCTGGAGTGCTGTGGCGCGATCTCGGCTCACTGCAAGCTCCGCCTCCCGGGTTCATGCCATTCTTCTGCCTCAGCCTCCCGAGCAGCTGAGACTACAGGTGCCCGCCACCGCCTGCTAATTTTTGTATTTTTAGTAGAGGTGGGGCTTCACCGTGTTAGCCAGGATGGTCTCCATCTCCTGACCTCGTGATCCTCCTGCCTCGGCTTCCCAAAGTGCTGAGATTACAGGCATGAGCCAGTGCACTCGGCCTGTTTCTCCTAAATCTAAAGACTCAATATGATAATCAAGAGAACGCCTCAGCACCGCGCCTAGCACTTAGTAGGTAGTGATCAAGAGAGAAGACCTCTTAAGTGGTTTTAATGGTTAAGGACCACAGGTTCTCAAGATAGGGAAATCTCAATTCAAGTCCTGCCTCCATCTCTTGGAAACTGAGAAACCTTGAACAAGTCACTCAGAGGAGCCAAAGATCCTTCATTTCTACATGTGCAAAAGGGGAGTGTGGCAGTAGCACTGCACAGGGTTGACTGAGCTTTCAGGGAGATGATGACTGTACGATCATGCCTCTCTTAATCACGGGATGGTTCTGAGAAATGCCTCCTTAGGTGATTGCAGCATTGTGCAAACAGCAAAGTGCATTTACACAAACCTTGTATAGCCTTGTATAGCCTATAAACACCTAGGCTGTATGGCGTAGCCTATTGCTCCTAGGCTACATACCTGTACAGCCTGATACTTTACTGAATATACCATAAGCAGTTGTAACACAATGTAAGTACTTGTGTACCTGAACATAGAGAAGGTACAGTAAGAATAGAGTATAAGATATTTTAAAATGGTACTCCTGTATAGGGCACTTACCATGAAAGGAGCTTGCAGGACTGGAAGATGCTGTGGTGAGTCAGTGAGTGTGAAGGCATAGGACCTTACTGTACACTACTGTAGACTTTATAAACACCATATGCTTAGGCTACACCAAAATTTTTTAAGGCTTTTCTTCAATAAATTAACCTTAGCTTACTGAAATGTATCTTAAAATATTTTGCCAGTCGTGTTGTCTCACACCTGTAATCCCAGCACTTTGGGAGGCCAAGGCAGGCAGATCATTTGAGGTCAGGAGTTCGAGACCATCCTCGCCAATGTGGTGAAACCCTCATCTCTACTAAAAATACAAAACTTAGCCAGGCATGGTGGTGTGCACCTGTAATCCCAGCTACTCAGGAGACTGACGGAGGAGAATCGCTTGAACCCAGGAGGCGGAGTTTGCAGTGAGCCGAGATCGTGCCACTGCACTCCAGCCTGGGCAATTACACGCATGGAGCTGTCATCTCCTGTGATAACAATGCCTTCTTCTTCCAGAACACTTCCTGAAGGACCTGCCTGAGGCTGTTTTATAGTTAACTATTTTTTAATGTAAGTAGAAAACATACATTCTAAAATTATGAAAAACACTAAATACACCAGGGCTGGGCACAGTGTCTCATGTGGGTAATCCCAGCACTTCAGGAGGCTGAGGAGGGCAGATCATTTGAGGTCAGGAGTTTGAGACCAGCCTGGGCAGTGTGGTGAAACCCCATCTCTGCTAAAAATACAAAGATTAGCTGGCTGTGGTCGTGGGTGCCTGTATTCCCTGCTACTCAGGAGGCTGAGGCAGAAGAATCGCTTCAACCTGTGAGGCAGAAGTTGCAGTGAGCCAAGATCGCGCCACTGCACTCCAGGCTGTGCGACAGAACAAGACTCTGTCTCAAAAAAATAAACCAGTAACATAGTTGTTCATTATCAAGTATTACATATTGTATGTAATTGTACATGCTAGGCTTTTATAGAACTGGCAGCACAGATTTGTTTACACCAGCATCACCAGAAACACACAAATGCATTACCCTAACATACAATGGCTATGTCACTAAGCAATAGGAATTTTTCAGCTCCATAATCGTCTTATGGTCCACTGACTTACATGTGGTTTGTCATTGACTAAAATGTCATTATACAACACATGACTGCATATCCCAGGGCACAATGCCTGGCACACACAAAGATGAGTTTCACTGGTGTAATTCCCACCCTATCCATCCAAGACTCCTAAAAAGTTTAATAAAAGGGGCTCTGCTCCCAAAACCCTGTGGTATAAGTAGGTGGGAGGAGTTCGCCCAACTTGGGGCTGCAAGGACTCTTTCTTCCCACATCTTTACTTTCCTTTCTCTCTGCCAACCTTCTCTGAAAACCCTAAAGTTGGCAGAAAAATGGAGAATGTTTTCCCTACTAACAAAAAGAATCTTCAAGAGTCTCTTGGAATTTGTAAATGGGTGCATTTACTAGTCTTTTTTTATGTTTTTTTAATTTAATTTAATTTAATTTTTTATTACTATTATACTTTAAGTTTTGGGGTACATATGCACATTGTGCAGGTTAGTTACATATGTATATATGTGCCATGCTGGTGCGCTGCACCCACTAACTCGTCATCTAGCATTAGGTATATCTCCCAGTACTATCCCTCACCCCTCCCCCCACCCCACAACAGTCCCCAGAGTGTGATGTTCCCCTTCCTGTGTCCACGTGATCTCATTGTTCAATTCCCACCTATGAGTGAGAATGTGCGGTGTTTGGTTTTTTGTTCTTGCCATGGTTTACTGAGAATGATGATTTCCAATTTCATCCATGTCCCTACAAAGGACGTGAACTCATCATTTTTTATGGCTGCATAGTATTTCATGGTGTATATGTGCCACATTTTCTTAATCCAGTCTATCATTGTTGGACTTTTCGGTTGGTTCCAAGTCTTTGCTATTGTGAATAATGCCACAATAAACATACGTGTGCATGTGTCTTTATAGCAGCATGATTTATAATCCTTTGGGTATATACCCAGTAATGGGATGGCTCGGTCAAATGGTATTTCTACTTCTAGATCCCTGAGGAATTGCCACACTGACTTCCACAATGGTTGAACTAGTTTACAGTCCCACCAACAGTGTAAAAGTGTTCCTATTTCTCCACATCCTCTCCAGCACCTGTTGTTTCCTGACTTTTTAATGATCGCCATTCTAACTGGTGTGAGATGGTATCTCATTGTGGTTTTGATTTGATTTCTCTGATGGCCAGTGATGATGAACATTTTTTCATGTGTTTTTTGGCTGCATAAATGTCTTCTTTTGAGAAGTGTCTGTTCATGTCCTTCGCCCACTTTTTGATGGGTTTGTTTGTTTTTTTCTTGTAAATTTATTGGAGTTCATTGTAGATTCTGGATATTAGCCCTTTGTCAGATGAGTAGATTGTGAAAATTTTCTCCCATTTTGTAGGTTGCCTGTTCACTCTGATGGTAGTTTCTTTTGCTGTGCAGAAGCTCTTTAGTTTAATTAGATCCCATTTGTCAATTTTGGCTTTTGTTGCCATTGCTTTTGGTGTTTTAGACATGAAGTCCTTGCCCATGCCTATGTCCTGAATGGTAATGCCTAGGTTTTCTTCTAGGGTTTTTATGGTTTTAGGTCTAACGTTTAAGTCTTTAATCCATCTTGAATTGATTTTTGTATAAGGTGTAAGGAAGGGATCCAGTTTCAGCTTTCTACGTATGGCCAGCCAGTTTTCCCAGCACCATTTATTAAATAGGGAGTCCTTTCCCCATTGCTTGTTTTTCTCAGGTTTGTCAAAGATCAGATAGTTGTAGATATGTGGCATTATTTCTGAGGGCTCTGTTCTGTTCCATTGATCTATATCTCTGTTTTGGTACCAGTGCCATGCTGTTTTGGTTACTGTATTCTTGTAGTATAGTTTCAAGTCAGGTAGTGTTATGCCTCCGGCTTTGTTCTTTTGGCTTAGGATTGACTTGGCGATGCGGGCTCTTTTTTGGTTCCATAAGAACTTTAAAGTAGTTTTTCCAATTCTATGAAGAAAGTCATTGGTAGCTTGATGGGGATGGCATTGAATCTATAAATTACCTTGGGCAGTATGGCCATTTTCATGATATTGATTCTTCTTACCCATGAGCATGGAATGTTCTTCCATTTGTTTGTATCCTCTTTTATTTCCTTGAGCAGTGGATTGTAGTTCTCCTTGAAGAGGTCCTTCACATCCCTTGTGAGTTGGATTCCTAGGTATTTTATTCTCTTTGAAGCAATTGTGAATGGGAGTTCCCTCATGATTTGGCTCTCTGTTTGTCTGTTGTTGGTGTATAAGAATGCTTGAAATTTTTGTACATTGATTTTGTATCCTGAGACTTTGCTGAAGTTGCTTATCAGCTTAAGGAGATTTTGGGCTGAGATGATGGGGTTTTCTAGATATACAATCATGTCATCTGCAAACAGGGATAATTTGACTTCCTCTTTTCCTAATTGAATACCCTTTATTTCCTTCTCCTGCCTAATTGCCCTGGCCAGAACTTCCAACACTATGTTGAATAGGAGTGGTGAGAGAAGGCATCCCTGTCTTGTGCCAGTTTTCAAAGGGAATGCTTCCAGTTTTGCCCATTCAGTATGATATTGGCTGTGGGTTTGTCATAGATAGCTCTTATTATTTTGAAATACTTCCCATCAATACATAATTTATTGAGACTTTTTAGCATGAAGTGTTGTTGAATTTTGTCAAATGCCTTTTCTGCATCTATTGAGATAATCATGTGGTTTTCGTCTTTGGTTCTGTTTATAAGCTGGATTACATTTATTGATTCGCATATGTTGAACCAGGCTTGCATCCCAGGGATGAAGCCCACCTGATCATGGTGGATAAGCTTTTTGATGTGCTGCTGGATTCGGTTTGCCAGTATTTTATTGAGGATTTTTGCATCAATGTTCATCAAGGATGTTGGTCTAAAATTATCTTTTTTGGTTGTGTCTCTGCCCAGCTTTGGTATGAGAATGACACTGGCCTCATAAAATGAGTTAGGGAAGACTCCCTCTTTTTCTATTGATTGGAATAGTTTCAGAAGGAATGGTACCAGTTCCTCCTTATACCTCTAGTAGAATTCGGCTGTGAATCCATCTGGTCCTGGACTCTTTTTGGTTGGTAAGCTATTGATTATTGCCACAATTTCAGCTCCTGTTATTGGTCTATTCAGAGATTCAACTTCATTCTGGTTTAGTCTTGGGAGAGTGTATGTGTCGAGGAATTTATCCATTTCTTCTAGATTTTCTAGTTTATTTGCATAGAGGTGTTTGTAGTATTCTCTGATGATAGTTTGTATTTCTGTGGGATCGGTGATGATATCCCCTTTATCATTTTTTATTGCATCTATTTGATTCTTCTCTCTTTTTTCTTTATTAGTCTTGCTAGCGGTCTATCTATTTTGTTGATCCTTTCAAAAAACCAGCTCCTGGATTCATTAATTTTTTGAAGGGTTTTTTTATGTCTCTATTTCCTTCAGTTCTGCTCTGATTTTAGTTATTTCTTGCCTTCTGCTAGCTTTTGAATGTGTTTGCTCTTGCTTTTCTAGTTCTTTTAATTGTGATGTTAGGGTGTCAATTTTGGATGTTTTGTTTTTTTTGAGATGGAGTCTTGCTCTGTCACCTAGGCTGGAGTGCAGTGGCAGGGTCTCGGCTCACTGCAACCTCCGCCTCCCAGATGCAAGCGATTCTCCTGTCTCAGCCTCCTGAGTAGCTGGGATTAAAGGCACACACCACTATGCCCGGCTAATTTTTTTGTATTTTTAATAGAGATGGGATTTCACCATGTTGGTCAGGCTGATCTCAAACTCCTGACCTCGTGATCCACCTGCCCTGGCCTCCCAAAGTACTGGGATTACAGGCATGAGCCACCGCACCCAGCCTTCTAGTTTGGTATTTTTCTTATTCAAGTAAAAAGGAAAAAAAAATAACTCCACCAAGAGTAAAACAGAAAAAAGGAACAAAACTGATAGCATGACTGAAAAGGCCTGGGGTGGTACCTCACTTCAGGCATAGTTGGATACAGGCATTTATACAAGATAAGTCTCTCTAATCTCTCAGTGCTTGCTTCCCTTTGATTACTTCATTCTCATGCAGTTCTTTCCACATAGTGGCCTGAGCAGCTCCTAACTCACATCTGCCCAAGAAAGCAGAGGCTGTTCCCCAATAGTTCCAGCCAAAGTCCCAGGAATGACTTTCACTGGAACCGTTTGGGCCACATGCCCATGCCGGAGCCAATCACCACATCCAGCCTGGCCAGACCTGGCTTTCATGAAGCCCCTTCAGGAAGCGGTTGGGGATATCCCTTCCAGAAGGACATGGGGAAAACCAGAAAGTGGGAGGAGGGATGCTTCCTTCTGAAAAATAGGGATGCAATTACCACAAGAGGTATCAGGTACAGGGCTGGCACAAACAAGAGCTATCCACAGCACCATCATGTAGGCATGCAGCAGGTCCACCATGAAGCAACCTGGCTGCTCCGCAAAACGGAGTCACAGTTAATTCAGTCAAAGAGAAATATCCCTCTACTTGGGTTCCCACCATTCACCCCAGGCCTGGCACATCCCAAATTTGCTTGGTCAAAGGCAAGCAAATTACCCACCTTTTATGCTGCACAAAAAGCTGAAAAGATTATCTTACTTCTCTGGCTCAAGAACTTTCTATGACTCCCTCTGGCTACTTATGTGGCTCCCACACCCTTAATGATAGAAGCCAACATTCATGAATCCCTTACCACATGCCAGTTACCTTATGGACCTGCCTCCTCCAGACAGCATAAAAGAGGTTGGTACTCTTACCGCACCCATTTTATAAATATGGAAACAAAGGCTCAGCAATTTGAGGTAATTTACCCAGAACCAAAGTTAGGAAGTGCAGAGTTCAGATTAGCACAATATTGTTCCCGCCATTGCCATCCAAGCTCCATTTGTTCATGTTTCAAAGTCCTACACCCACCTCTAGCTAGGGGTCAGTGGGAACAGCTGCATGGCAGAAGACGCCTCTAGGAACCCCTTCAGCTTCTGCAGTGGTGGGGCTGGGGAGTAGGTGCAAAAGATACTTAGCTTTACCACCCTCTCCCATAATTTTTTTTTTTTGAGATGGATTCTCACTCTGTCACCCAGGCTGGAGTGCAGTGGTGTGATCTCAGCTCACTGCAACCTCTGCCTCCTGGGTTCAAGCAATTCTCATGCCACAGCCTTTGGAGTAGCTGGGATTACAGGTGACAACCACCACACCTGGTTAATTTTTGTATTTTTAGTAAAGATGGGGTTTCACTATGTTGGCCAGGCTAGTCTCAAACTCCAAACCTCAAGTGATCCACCCGCCTCAGCCTCCCAATGTGCTGGGATTGCTAAGCCACCATGCCTGGCCCCATCTCCCATGACTTAATGGGATAGGGAAAATAATTCCTCCAAGATAAAACTAAAGTGACGTTAGGAAAGGAAGTAGGTGTTTGGTAGCCTTCAACCAGCAGCTGATTTCTCCCATTTGTGAGTCAATTAGTTTTCTATGGCTGCTGTAACAAATTACCACGAACTGATTGGCTTACATCAACACAGACTTAATATCTTATTGTCTATAGGTCAGAAGTCTCAAATCAGTTTCCCTTGGCTAAAGTCAAGTTGTAAAGGACTGATTCCTTCAGGAGGTTCTGAAGGGAAAACCCGTTTTCTTGCCTTTTCTGCTTTTAGTGGTTACCTATATACCCTGAATTGTGGCCCTTTCCTCCATTTTTAAAGCACACCACTCCAATCTCTGCACAGTGCTATGGTTTGAATGTGTCCCCCAAAGTTCATGTGTTGGAAATTTAATCTCCAATGCAACAGTGTTGAGAGGTGGGACCTTTAAGAAGAGATTAGGTCATGAAAGATCTGCCCTCATTAATAGAGTAATGATGTTATCTCAGCAGAGGGTTAATTATCATGGGGATGGGTTGCTAATAAATGGATTGAGTTCAGCCCCCTTTTCTCTCTTGATGTGATACCTTCCATCATGGGATGACACAGCAAGAAGACCCTCACCAGAAGCAGGCCCCTTGATCTTGACATTCCCAGCCTCCAGAACTGTAAGAAATAAACCTGTTCTTTATAAATTACCCAGTCTCAGATATTGCATAGCAATACAAAAAAGACGAAGACACTCAGTCATCATCGCATTGCCATCTCCCCTGACTGCTGAGTCCCTCTTAAAAGAGCACAGTAGGCTGGATGTGGTGGCTCAAGCCTGTAATCCCAGCACTTTGGGAGGCCAAGGTGGGCAGATCACGAGGTCAGGAGTTCGAGACTAGCCTGGCCAAAATGGTGAAACCCCATCTCTACTGGAAAAACAAAAATTAGTTGGACATGTTGGCGAGCGCCTGTAATCCAGCTACTCGGAAGGCTGAGGCAAGAGAATCACTTGAACCTTGGGAGGTGGAGTTGCAGCGAGCCAAGATTGTGCCATTGCACTCCAGCCTGGGCACCAAGAGCAAAAAACTCCATCTCAAAAAAAAAAAAAAAAAGCAGTGTGATGGGACACTGGGCCCACAGGCAACATAGGATAAGTTCCCATCTCAAGATGCTTAATCACATCTGCAAAGTCCCTTTTGTCATGGAAAGGAACATAGTCACAGATTCCAGGGATTAAGTTGAGGACACTTTGGAGGGGCCATTATTCAGCCTGCCATGGAATATATCATGAGAAGGAGTTAATACAAAATGCTCTGGAAACAGAGAAGGGTGGCCGGGCATGGTAGCTCATGCCTCTAATCCCAGTACCTTGGAAGGGAGGCGGGGGGATTGCCTGAGGTCAGGGGTTCAAGACCAGACTGACCAACATGGTGAAACCCCATCTCTACTAAAAATACAAAAATTAGCTGGGCATGGTGGCAGGTGCCTGTAATCCCAGCTACTCGGGAGGCTGAGTCAGGAGAATCGCTTGAACCCAGTAGACGGAGGTTGCAGTGAGCTGAGATCGCACCATTGCACTCCAGCCTGGGTGACAAGCATGAGACTTCATCTCGATTAAAAAAAAAAGAAAAAGAAAAAGAAACAGAGAAAAGCTGGCTAACTCTCCACAATGGGAAAAATGTCCCAGGAAACCACAGCCTCCACATTAAATATTCAAATGAGCTAAAACCTATCTAATTGGCAATCTCAGCCTTATTCCTTTAAACATGCAAACCACCTAAATTCCCAACAAACCCCCTACACCAGGCCAGCCAAGTCTCAGAATGCTTATATATACCCTTTAATAGAAATTTCCAACCACCATCCCCATTTCCTAAGGAAATGGCTGTGTGCCCTTGACCCTGCCTTGACTGAATCGCCAGTGGCCTTTGAACCTTGGCACTCAATTCATGGCATGGCCAGCAAGCTACAAAGTGTCCTAGCATCAACCAAGCAAAGTTATAAAAGCAGATTCAGTAGACAAGAAGGAACATTAGTTTTAGAGTCAAAAAGACCTGGGTTGGGTCCCAGCTCTGCCATTTACCAGCTGCACGACATCAGAAAAGTTATTTTCATCCTGGACAAGAGCAGCCAAGGGTAAGTCTTTGCACAGGGCCTCCCCGGTCATTATTGGGTCAACAAGACATAACCATGCCTTATCTCCACTTCCAAAACCCAAACAGTTCTCAAAAATGAGTCACTGTAGCTCATTTGGAAGAAAAGACTGATATGAATCAATATGCAACTGCCTATAATCTTTCTCTATCCCTCTTACTGTGAATATTTGCTGTGGAAATATTAACATGTTTGGTCTCCACTGGGGTAGGACTCCACATGTGTAGGACTCCACTGGGGTGCTACACATACAAATAGTAGATATGCCTTACCACCTTCCTAAAATTGGGTAATTAAATTTCACAACTTATCTACCCCCAAAGGTTTCAGAGACTGTAGACCTGTATCTTTATGAGGGCAAGGATGAGAATATAACCTGGCCTGTTTTTATGCACCAAGGTACCTGCTGTTCTCATGAAGATGTCAGCAGCCAGCCAGCCAGTCTCTACAAACTCCACCCCCAACCTCACTATGCTCCTTTCCCTGGAACTTTCCAAGGGGCCCTTAGAATTTGTATTCAGCTCTCACAGGCTGAGACCAGGGTGACATCCTGGAAAACCTGCCTAGTGATAGCCAAGGTGTAGCTCCAGATGAAAGGCACACAACAACTTTAAATATAAAAAAGCCATTCAGGCTAGGCACAGTGGCTCACGTGTGTAATCCCAGCACTTTAAGAGACCGAGGCAGGCGGATCACCTGAGGTCAGAAGTTCAAGACCAGGCTGGCCAACATGGCAAAACCCTGTCTCTACAAAAAAATATAAAAATTAGCTTGGCATGGTGGTGCATACCTGTAATCCCAGCTACTCAGGAGGCTGAGGCCCGAGAATCACTTGAACCTGGGAAGCAGAGGTTGCAGTGAGCCAAGCTTCCAAGCTTGCACCACTACACTTCAGGCTGGGCAACAGAGTGAGACTCCGTCCCAAATAAATAAATAATAAAGCCATTCAACTAAAGAACTGATTATCAAGCAGAAGCACAAAGCCCAGGTTCCATTAGGTTTTTAATTGTACATCAGTGACTGTGAAAAAGCAATTATTCCCATAATTAAAATACAAACTATAAAAAACAGACTCAAAGAAAAGAAAAATGACAGAATGAAAGAAGGTACATTTCTTTCATGTTCAAACCACGGAGTTCACAACACAGCCGGGCGCTTTGTGGTCTCGGCACCCTCGGCTTCCCCTTCATGAGGCCGCTTTCGACTAGTAGAAGGCTGAAAATAAAGGAAAATGACAACTGAGTCCTCACCACAGCCCACAACTCAGACATGCTTATCTAATAGATATTTCTCTCCCTTATGGCTTCTGACCTCTGAATGATGTATACTGAAAGCAAGTAGCATAACCAACTTCCTCTTGATCATCTTCTTCTAAATATCAACTTTAAAAGGACTATAATACCTCTCAGTTGAAGCCCCAACTCTTGGTCTTTTGCGGGAAGACAACCTTTGTGCCTTAGTTGTTTTCCCATATACAAAATTGGGAGGAAGGCTGGGTGTGGTGACTCACACCTGTAATCCCAGCACTTTGGGAAGCCGAGGTGGGCAGGTCGCTTCAGGTCAAAAGTTCGAGACAAGCCTGACCTACATGGCAAAACCCCATCTCACCTAAAAATACAAAAATTAGCTTGGCACAGTGGCAGACACCTGTAGTCCCAGATACTCGGGAGACTGAGGCAGGAGAACTGCTTGAACCCAGGAGGCAGAGGTTGCAGTGAGCTGAGATTGCACCACTGCACTCTGGCCTGAGTGACAGACTAAGACTCTGTCTCAAGAAAAAAAAATCGGGGGGGAGGAAACAGTGGGGAAAAAGGACAGCTACCATTCAACAACAACAACAACAAAAAAAGCAGGACTGGAATTAACCTATATTCACAAAGAACTTTAAAGAATAAAATTGTAATCAAGGAATCAACTACTGACCCAAATTTTAATTTTTCCAACAAATTTATATTTGAGCCTCTAATAGAGTCTTTCGAAATTGCCTTACAGGTGACCTTTTGGATGACAATCCCTAGCTGTGTTTATCTGTCTATTATGTGTTAGACATTAAACATATCCTGCATTTTTAAATCTAAGGGTGCTGGAGTGAATCAAGTTCAAACAGAGTTTCTACTACATTATAACTGAAACAATGTTAAGCAATTGCTACTCAGGAAAATCTTGAATTTCATCATCTTTGCTTATCAGCTCCTTAAGCCCAGACTACATTTAGTGATCATCAGGAATACGAATACCTGGGCTAGAACCTGAGATAGAGCTGTGGACTCATTTTCCTCAGACAGAAGATCTTGAAACTTTCTCTTCATGTCTTCATCCTGTGAGGGAATTAAAAACATAAGTAGCTGTGTCTGAAGGACAGCAAACTCCTAGAATGACAGGGGTAGCATGCCCCTGTGGAAAGAGGGAGGAAAAGATGTCCGTCCAAGAATCACGCCCTTGATGAAGCTCCCACAGCGAAGGCATTATGTGTTGCCCCCCTCTACCTTCCCAGAGGAGTCCAATTAGCAGTCAATGTTCCATCAATCCTGGCTGACTCACATCCACATGCCTAAAAGCTCTCAGTGGGTCAATCACAGCCTCCAGCAGTCAAGAGTTTCTGAATTAGCATCCCAGATCCTGAGAAAGGTGACAATCAGGGGGCCAGGGGCCGGGCCTGACTCCGTGCAGATCCTCAAATCCTTCCGGGACCACTCTCCACCTGCTGCCTCTGCCATGAATGAGGCCAGTCACCCAGGCTGTCCTAACAACCAGCCCAGCACCCTAGGAAAATTCACCCAGCAGATGCCATACAAATTTTCAGAAGTACTTAAGCCCACAATATCCCAGAGCTCAGGTCTAATGAGAAAGGGAGACAATAAACAGGACAAAGCATTACAGGTGTTTCATGCTGCAGGAGCGGGAGATGAGGAGGGCACAAACAGTGTGTATACGAGTAGCTCCCACCTCTCTGGATTCTTACTTCTGCAGGGTTCAAGGATTTACATTAGGAAACCCTGAGAGGTGGTCTGGTGCAGCTCTCCCCATCTTCAGCAAGGTGAAAGGAACAACTATAACTAGGAATGTGGCCTTTGCGTGTTGGCCAGAAGCCCAGCTCAGCCACTCACAGGTGGCATGTGCACAATACAGACCCAGAGTTATCTGATTCCAATGCCTCATTTACTTTCCCACCCAACTCCAGCCCCTCTTCCCACTGAGCCAAGCATACCACAGTGGGGAAAGGGAGAGGATACAGCAAAGTCCTCCACCATTTGGCAATTTGATGGATATGGAAATTTTACAACACTAGGTTGGGCATGGTGGCTCATGCCTATAATCCCAGCACTTTGGGAGGCCAAGGTGGGAGAATTGCTTGAGGCCAGGAATTTGAGACCAGCCTGGGCAATATAGTGGGACTTTGTCACTACAAAAAAAATTTAAAAATTAGGCCAGGCACGGAGGCTCACGCCGGTAATCCCAGCACTTTGGGAGGCCAAGGCGGGAAAATCACCTGAGGTCAGAAGTTTGAGATCAGCCTGGCTAACATGGTGAAACCCCGTCTCTACTAAAAATACAAAATTAGCCAGGCGTGATAGTGCATGCCTGTAATCCCAGCTACTCAGGAGGCTGAGGCAGGAGAATCGCTTGAACTCGAGAGGCGGAGGTTGCAGTAAGCCAGGATCACACCACTGCACTCCAGCCTGGGCAAAAGAGTACGACTCTGTCTCCAAAAAAAAAAAAAAAAAAAAAATTTAAATTAGCCAGACATGATGGCATGCACCTGCAGTCTCAGCTACTTGGGAGGCTGGGGCAGGAAGATCGCTTGAGCCTGAAAGTCATGGTGCAGTGATCATGCCACTGTACTCCAGCCTAGGTGAGAGAGCAAGACCCTGAGGAAGGAAGGAAAGAAAGAAGCAAGGAAGGAAAAAGGGAGGGGGGATGAAAGAGGGGAGGGGAAAGAAATGGAGGAGAGGGGAGGGGGAAGGAAGGAGGAAGAAAGAAAGAAGGAAAGGAGGACCAGGCACAGTGGTTCACGCCTGTAATCCCAGCACTTTGGGAGGCCAAGGCAGGACACATCACTCTGTTTTGAGTTTCTCAGTGTAGCTCCCCATTGCCATTTGACAGCAGCAAGCTCATCTGGATTCCTCTCTGCACCCTCTCACAGCCTTACTTAGGATCTCAATTATCTTGCAGTGTCACTCTCAAAAGTCCATCTCTTGGCAGCCATTCAGTGAGGCCAAACAGAGTGGTCACAAGCCTAATCAGGCCTATATTTAAAACAAATAATCAGGTCAGGCACAGTGGCTCATGCCTGGAATCCCAGCACTTTGGGAGGCCAAGGTGGGTGGATCACCAGAGGTTAGGAGTTTGAGACTAGTCTGACCAACACGGTGAAACCCCATCTCTACTAAAAATACAAAAATGAGCTGGGCATGGTGGCAGGCATCTGTAATCCCAGCCACTTGGGAGGCTGATGCAGGAGAATCACTTGAACCCAGAGGTGGAGGTTGCAGTGAGTTGAGATCACACCATTGCACTCCAGCCTGGTAGACAAAAGCGAGACTCCATCTCAAAAAAGGAAATAAATAAATAAACATTGATTTTCTTCATGATGTCTACAATTATTCCAAAATATTAAATTAGCCAGGAACAGTGGCTTGTGCCTATTATCCAAGCACTTTGTGAGGCTGAGGCAGGAGGATCCCTTAAGGCCAGGAGATCGAGGCTGCAGTGAGCTATAATTGCACCAGTGCACTCCAGTTTAGGCAACAGAAGAAGACCTTGTCTCCACCAATAAATAAAATAAAAACTAAATTATAATATCCCTTGAAAGCAAACAGAAGAAATCCTCTATTTCAGGCAGTAAATATGAGGCAGACAGTAGATGTAAGGGATGCTCCCCAAACTGGGCACTCTGTTAATGACAAAACAGAGACCAGAATCCACATTCCCAACACTCAATCCAGCGCCAGACCCACAAAACCATTTGGTTTTTGTGAAAACACTGAATTTTCCCAAAATAAAACCCAAACTATCACTAACAGATATTTTAGATGGTCAGTCTTCATCCTTGTCTTCATTCAATGCTCATTCCTCCTTTTACTGCAAAAACAAAAGGTGGCTAAAAGAGTATTCCAGGGAGATCCTGCCACAGAGTTGAACTTCATCTTCTCCTTGGATGTTAATAAGTTTTCTTTGAGACGAAGAAGTACAAGAAAAATGGGCTACACTTGCTCATAAATTTCAGGCAGATGCAAACCCTGTTCCCAGGCTCAACAGGCCAGCTCTGCTTTTTTGCTAGAGATGAACACAGCTCCTGTACCTCTACATTTAGACCCAAGAGTTTCCCTAATAGGACACATGAAAAGAGCCAAAAGACATGTTTCTCTTTTTCATCAAAATTAAAATCCTCACATGCAAAGGCACCCTTTGTTTCCAAAGCCCTTTCCTCCAGGGTCCCGCTGTTTCAAATCTGTGTGGTCTATTAAATGCTAAATCATCTGACAGATTTCTTCTGGGGAGACTGTCGTTTCCAGGGCAACATCCAAAACACATATATCTGTCTTTTCTTTTTTTTTTTAAGTTTTTGTTGTTCTCAACCTGAGCTGGCCTGAGCAAAACTGTTGGGTGTAGAGTATTAGAAGAGAGAATGGGGAGAGTCTTCCTAGAGTCCCAGAAGTACGGGGCTGAGGCTGGATTGACCAAGGAGTTCCTGGACCAGTAATCCCCAGAGAAACAGCATTTAGCTCAAGTAACAGCCTCTCGCTCAAGCTACCAGTTCTGTCCCCCATCTCCACAGAAAACGGATTGATACAGTTTGGCTTTATGTCCCTACCCAAATCTCATCTCAAATTGTAATCCCCAGGAGTTGAGAAAGGGACCTGTTGAGAAGTGATTGGCTCATGGGGGCAGTTTCCCCCAGGCTATTCTCGTGATAGTGAGTTCTCACAAGATCTGACAGTTTCATAAAAGGCTCTTCGCCCTTCACTTCCTTCACAAGCTCTCTCACCTGCTGCCATTAAGACATACCTTCTTCCCCTTCCACCATGATTGTAAGTTTCCTGAGGCCTCCCCAGCCATGTGGAGCTGTGAGTCAATTAAACCTCCTTTCTTTATAAATTACCCAGTCTTGGGCAGTTCTTTATAGCAGTGTGAGAACAGACTAATCCCCAGACCAAAAGAAAATTAATAGAAAGGGACATGGCTGTGTTGAATGGAACTGCTCATTAGAGAAGACCAGACATCTATCAGAAAACCTGCCCAATGGCATAGCTAATTCCAAAACTAAAGATTAATCCAGCAAAGCCAAAACGTACTTCCAACTCTTGGCAGTTCTAAATGAGGTCAGGATTTAATAATGGCAGCCCCAACACCTAGCAGGAGCACAGCACTAACACAGATGAAAGGTGCAGGTGACGGCCTTCACTAAGGACACATTTACTCACCTGAATGAACAAGCAGTGGGACCCTTTATACCAGTCACTTGGGCTTGAGAAATAGCTGGATTCTCCCCAGGGAGGCTGCCCTCCTCCCCCTCCCCCACTTCCCTTATTTAAGGTTGAAGATGGCTGGAATGCAGCCCACCTATGAAGAGCAGTGGACATGGCTGGGGGTAGAGCCAGAACAAGCCCTCAAAAGAACACAGGCCAGACTGGAGACTTAGGGAAGCCAAGTGGAACCAGAACAGGACATAAAGTGAGCTTGTACATCCAACAGCCATGAGTAACATCAAAAAGGTTGTAGCCTGGCCAACACGGTGAAACCCCATCTCTACAAAAAATACAAAAAGTAGTTGGGCTTGGTAGCATGCACCTTTAATCCCAGCTACTTGGGAGGTTGAGGCAGGAGAATCACTTGAACCCAGGGGTCAGAGGTTGCAGTGAGCTGAGATCGTGCCACTGCACTCCAGCCAGGGTGACAGAAGGAGAACCTGTCTCAAAAAAGAAAAAAAAAGACAGGTTGCAACCCATCCTCCAAGATACCCCCCATACATCTAAAACAATTAGATTAAACAGACTAAACATGTTTCTATCCTCTGTCTCATGTCTCTCAGGCAGCAGGGCTTCCCATGTATTTTATGCTAGCAGGCACTGTCCCACACCCACCTGAAGCCACGGTGTCTTAAGGCTTCTTCTCTCATAAAACGTGCCTTTGGATCCACTACCAACAACTTCTTGACAAGGTCCAGTGCTAAAGCAACAATTGGGCAAATCACAGTGAAAAGGATAAATATATTATCAGTAATAGTATGCCAGAATTAACAAGTCACCATCCAGAAAGAGCAGAGAGGGTCTGAGATCATCAGGGAGTCAGCAGACAGGACCCCCTAATCTTCCTCACTCTCTGTATTCAGAGTCCTGTGAGAAGACCAGGAATGATAATGACACTCCCTGTCTCCTGCTGCTGGGACATCATTCACGACCTCTTCGCTGCCTGTTCCCTCTCCTGTTGCTAGACTCAAGGTCAAACTAATTAAAGCTAAACTTCTACCCAATTCTAAGATACTTGGGATGCACAGCGAACTCTCCCTGACAGATGGATGGGTGAGAGTTACTCAGCCAGGGAGAGGCTCACTGGAACTGCAGACTTGTCAGAAATAAAACTTGACTACTCCAGCAAGCAACAAATGCACGCTGGCCTGTATATTACAACATAATTATTCCTTAAATATTCTGACATTTAACACAATCACCTATGTTATGTTATTTGACATTCAAAACCTAGAATATTATATAGGCTAGTGAATATTATCCTTCATCTCTGAAGTATGAAAAGGAGCGTAACTGGTGAAATTGCTGGTTTTTTGTTATCTGACTAAGTGTATTAACCAAATCCAGTGAACGTTTCTGTCTGCATCGTATTCAAGAACTTTGCAGCTTTTGACGCCAATGATCACTCTCTTATTGAAACACTTGTCTTTTTTTTTTTTTCTAATTCTGAGGCACCACTTACTGGATTTCTTCTTCCCTCACTGCTTCTTCCTTTCTTGTCTTCCATATTCCATTCTTCTTTTCCTAACTTCTAAATATGAAATATCACTCAGGACTTAGACCTGGGCCTTTTCCTCTTTTCCCTTTATATAGTTTGTCTATGTGGTCTCATCAATGTCCAAGATATCATATTTATGCATGCAACCTTCTAATTTAAGCATTATCTGGCCAGGCACGGTAGTTCACGCCTGTAATCCCAGCACTTTGGGGGCTGAGGCGGGCAGATCACCTGAGGTTGGGTGTTCAAACCAGCCTGGCCAACATGGTGAAACCCCATCTCTACTAAAAAATACAAAATTAACCAGACATCATGGCATGCACCTGTAGTCCCAGCTACTCAAGAGGCTGAGGCAGGAGAATCGCTTGAACCCAGGAGGCAGAGGCAGAGGTCGCAGTGAGCCAAGATTGCGTCACTGCACTCCAGACTCAAAATATATATATATATATATATATATATATATATATATATATATATATAATCATTATAGATATAGTTGAAGCTTCCTGTGTACTATTTTCCAAACTCATTCCTCTCCTTTTCCTGGAGGTACCAGCTATGCAGATAAAAGCAGAAATTAATGTCAGTAGCAGTGTGTTCATCATGTGTCTATGCCTTCATGACAAAGGAAGTTTAAAAACTTGTGTTCCTGGTTTCTGCATTGGGAAAGTAATATTAATAATGTTAGAAATTCTCCAAACATGGGGCGACTTATTAAAATATGCTCAGGCCAGGTGCCATGACTGACGCCTGTAATCCCAACACTTTGGGGCACCAAGGTTGAAGAATCATTTGAAGCCAAGGGTTTGAGGCTAGCTTGGGCAACATAGTGAGACTGCATCTCTACAAAACAAAAACTTTTTTAAAATTAGCTAGGCATTGTGGTGTGTGCCTGTAGTCCCAGCTACTCAGGAGGCTAAGGCAGAGGGTCCCTAGAACCCAGGAGTTCAAGGATGCTGTGAGATATATGATCGTGCCACTATTCCAACCCAGGCAACAGGGCAAGACCCTGTCTCTTTAAAAATAATAAAATAAAATAAAAGCTGCTTGGGCAAACTGTTAAACGTTTGCTTCTATTCCTGAGATACCCAACTGCTCCAGAATTTTTTTTAGAATACATTACTAGATTTACTATTATTTTATTTTAGATGTTTGTATCTAAGCTTAGTTTGGCCTCCAATTTTCTTGGATTATAATGATCTTAAATATTTATATTGCATTTATGTTAGCCTCACAAAATGAATTGAAGGTGTTCCCTCTTTTTCCATTCTCTGAAATTATTTTGATATGATAGTGCTTATTTATATGTTCTTTGAATGTTTGGTAGAACTTTCATATTAAAGTATCTCATACTAGTGGGTGTTTTCTATGAAAAAGTATTTACTGATTGAATTTTTAAAAATAGATACGTGAATATTCGGGTGTCCCATTTCTTTTTGACTAAGTGTTTATAAGTTATAGTAGCCAACGAAGTTGTTCATTTCACTTATGTTTTTAGACTGTTGTCATATAGTCATTTATAGTATTCACTTTATTATTTTTTCACTCATATTTTATGTTACACTTCATTTTTTATTCCTAATATTGCTTATTTATGCCTTCTCTTTTTAATTAATCAATGTTACCAGAAGAGTGCCTATTTTATTATTCTTTTCAAAGAATCAGCATTTGGTTTTGGGAATCTTGCCTATTGTTTCTTTGTTTATAGTTTATTAATGTCTATTTCTACTTTTAGCCTTATTTCCTTTAATTTATTTTATTTAGGTTTACTCCAATTTTTTTTTTTTTTTTTTTTTTTTTAGACAGAGTCTTGCTCTGTTGCCCAGGCTGCAATGCAGTGGCCCAATCTCGGCTCACTGCAACCTCTGCCTCCCTGGCTCAAGCAATTCTTCTGTTTCAGCCTCCCAAGTAGCTGGGATTATAGGCACCCACCACCACACCCAGCTAATTTTTGTATTTTCAGTAGAGACAGGAGTTTCACCATGTTGGCCAAGCTGGTCTTGAACTCCCGACCTCAGGTAATCTGCCCTCCTTGACCTCTAAAAATGCTGGGATTACAGGCCTGAGCCACCATGCCCAATCTCTTTTTCTCTTTCCAAACTTCCTAAAGTGGACATTTAACTAATTTTCAGCCTATTTTTCAATATAAACATTTAAAGATATAAATTACCCTTTCAGTACTGCCTCAGCTCTATCTCACAAGTTTTTTTATGTAGTATCTCACTTCCAAATATCTTCTGATTTTTGTTTTCATGTCTTCTTTGACTGAAAAATTATTTAAGGTGTGCCTTTAGTTTGAAGATGAAAGAAATTTACATTTTTTTCTCTTATAAATTGCATTTTGGTTACAGAGTATAAGCTGCATGTTATAATGTTTATTTGTTGTGATTTGATTCATAGGCTAGCATAGGTTCAGTTCTCCTAAGACTTTATCAGGCTTCAAAGTATATATATTCTCTAATTTGAGCATACAGAAGTCTATATATTTCCTTTAAATTAAGCTTTTTTAATAAAGTGGTTAAAATCTGAGGTAATCTTACTACATTTTGATTATCATTGACTCAGAGGTTTAAGTTTCTTCAAGGTTGAGGATTTAGACATTTTTCTTTGTAATCCTGCAATTTGTGCTTCATATATTTTATGGTTGAATTGTTACATGCATACATGTCTTTACACAATGACTTTTATTCCTCAGAATGTTTTTTGTCTTAAATTATAGTTTTTGATATGAAAATAACTATATCAGCCATATATTGGTTAATATTTGTTTTATTTATCATTTACTCATCTCATAACTTCAGAATTTTGTGTCTTCATATTTTTAACTATTACGGGTTATACCTGGCTTTTCACATTTTTATCCAGTCTTCAAGTGTCTGTCTTTAACTAATTTAGACCATTTAAGTTTATTGTGGTTATGGATAAATTTATATTTACTTCTGTCACCATATTTTGTGCTTTATGTTAACCATATTATTTCTCCAATTCTTTTCCCCAATGCATTCTATTAGATTGATCAAAGTTTTTCCCCTCTATTTGTTTAAAAGTTGTATATTCTAGTTCTATTCTATTCACAATTACCCTTGAAATGTAATATGTGTACTTGAATTAACAAGTAATTTAAAAAACCAATTGTAAAATTAAAATCACTAGTTTCATCTTGAAGGATGAATTAATTTGGATCACCCTCATTGACTCCTAACTTACTGTTTTCCAGTACTTTTCTTCCAATTTATATTTTATCAGCTTTTTTGAGGTATAATATACAGAGCACAAAATTTATTTATTTTAAATGCACATTTCGATGAGTTTTGACAAATTTATAGAGTTGTGCAACAATTACAAAAATTCAGTTTTTGAATACTTACATAATCTCAAAAAGTTTCCTCATGCTTACTTTCATTAAATCCTCACTCCCACCTACCCAAGTCCCAAGAAACAAATGATCTGCTTTCTTTATAGATTTGTCTTCCATGAAAAGCTACATAGATTGACTGGGCACAGTGGCTCACGCCTGTAATCCTAGCATTTTGGGAGGCCAAGGCGAGCAGATCACCTGAGCCCAGGAGTTCAAGACTAACCTAGGCAACATGGTGAAACCCCATCTCTACTAAAAACACAAAAATTAGCTGGGCATGGTGGCGCACCTGATAGCTACTCGAAGGCTGAAGTGTGACGGATTACGTTTATTGATTTGCGTATATTGAGCCAGGCTTTCATCCCAGGGATGAAGCTGACTTCATAGTGGTGGATAAGCTTTTTGATATGCTGCTGGATTCGGTTTGCCAGTATTTTATTGAGGATTTTTGCATTGATATTGATATTGGTCATCAGGGATATTGGTCTAAAATTCTCTTTTTTTGTTGTGTCTCTGCCAGGCTTTGATATCAGGATGATGCTGGCCTCATAAAATGTGTTAGGGAGGATTCCCTCTTTTTCAATTCATTGGAATAGTTTCAGAAGGAATGGTACCAGCTCCTCTTTGTACCTCTGGTAGAATTCAGCTGTGAATCCATCTGGTCCTGGACTTTTTTTGGTTGGTAGGCTAATTAATTATTACCTCAATTTCAGAGCCTGTTATTGGTCTATTCAGGGATTCGACTTCTTCCTGGTTTAGTCTTGGGATGGTGTATTTGTCCAGGAATTTATCCATTTCTTCTAGATTTTCTAGTTTATTTGTGTAGAGGGGTTTGTAGTATTCTCTGACAGTAGTTTGTATTTCCATGGGATCAGTGGTGAAATCCCCTTTATCATTTTTTATTGCATCTATTTGATTCTTCTCTCTTTTCTTCTTTATTAGTCTTGCTAGTGGTCTATCAATTTTGTTGATCTCTTCAAAAAACCAGCTCCTGGGTTCATTGATTTTTGAAGGGTTTTTTGTGTCTCTATCTCCTTCAGTTCTGCTCTGATCTTAGTTATTTCTTGCCTTCTGCTAGATTTTGAATTTGTGTGCTCCTGCTTCTCTAGTTCTTTTAATTGTGATGTTAGGGTGTCGATTTTTGATCTTTCCTGTTTTCTCTTGTGGTTATTTAGTGCCATAAATTTCCCTCTACACACTGCTTTAAATGTGTCCCAGAGATTCTGATATGTTGTGTCTTTGTTCTCGTTGGTTTCAAAGAACATCTTTACTTCTGCCTTCATTTCCTTATTTACCCAATAGTCATTCAGGAGCAGGTTGTTCAGTTTCCATGTATTTGTGTGGTTTTGAGTGAATTTCTTAATCCTGAGTTCCAATTTGATGGCACTGTGGTCTGGGAGACAGTTTGTTGTGATTTCTGTTCTTTTACATTTGCTGAGGAATGCTTTACTTCTAACTATGTGGTCAATTTTGGAATAAGTGAGACGTGGTGCTGAGAAGAATGTACATTGTGTTGATTTGGGGTGGAGGCTTCTGTAGATGTCTATTAGGTCTGCTTGTTGCAGAGCTGAGTTCAAGTCCTGGAAATCCTTGTTAACCTTCTGTCTCATTGATCTGTCTAATATTGACAGTGGGGTGTTAAAGTCTCTCACTATTACTGAGTGGATGTCTAAGTCTCTTTGTAGGTCTCTAAGGACTTGCTTTAAGAATCTGGGTGCTCCTGTATTGGGTGCATGTATAGTTAGTATAGTTAGATCTTCTTGTTGCATTGATCCCTTTACCATTATATAAAGGCCATCTTTGTCTCTTTGATCTCTGTTGTTTTAAAGTCTGTTTTATCAGAGACTAGGATTGCAACCCCTGCTATTTTTTGCTTTCCATTTGCTTGGTAGATCTTCTTCCATCCGTTTATTTTGAGCCTATGTGTGTCTCTGCATGTTAGATGGGTCTCCTGAATACAGCACACTGATGGGTCTTGACTCTTTATCCAGTTTGCCAGTCTGTGTCTTTTAATTGGGGCATTTAGCCCATTTATATTTAAGGTTAATATTGTTATGTGTGAATTTGATCCTGTCATTATGATGTTAGCTGGTTATTTTGCTCATTAGTTGATGCAGTTTCTTCCTAGGATCAATGGTCTTTACAATTTGGCATGTTTTTGCAGTGGCTGGTACCAGTTGTTCCTTTGCATGTTTAGTGCTTCCTTCAGGATCTCTTGTAAGGCAGGCCTGGTGGTGACAAAATCTCTCAGCATTTGCTTGTCTATAAAGGAGTTTATTTCTCCTTCACTTATGAATCTTAGTTTGGCTGGATATGAAATTCTGAGTTGAAAATTCTTTTTTTAAGAATGTTGAATATTGGCCCCCACTCTCTTCTGGTTTGTAGGGTTTCTGCCAAGAGATCTGCTGTTAGTCTGATGCACTTCCCTTTGTGGCTAACCCGACCTTTCTCTCTGGCTGCCCTTAACATTTTTCCTTTCATTTCAACCTTGGTGAGTGTGACAATTATGTGTCTTGGTGTTGCTCTTCTCGAAGAGTATCTTTTTGGTGTTTTCTGACCCTAACATCACAATTAAAAGAACCAGAAAACCAAGAGCAAACACATTCAAAAGCTAGCAGAAGGCAACAAATAACTAAGATCAGAGCAGAACTGAAGGAAATAGAGACACAAAAAACCCTTCAAAAAATTAATGAATCCAGGAGCTGGTTTTTTGAAAAGATCAACAAAATTGATAAACCACTAGCAAGACTAATAAAGAAGAAAAGAGAGAAGAATCAAATAGATGCAATAAAAAATGACAAAGGGGATATCACCACTGATGCCACAGAAATACAATCTACAATCAGAGAACACTACAAACACCTCTACACAAATAAACTAGAAAATCTAGAAGAAATGGATAAATTCCTCGACACATACACCCTCCCAAGACTAAACCAGGAAGAAGTTGAATCTCTGAATAGACCAATATCAGGCTCTGAAATTGTGGCAATAATCAATAGCTTATCAACCAAAAACAGTCCAGGACCAGATGGATTCACAGCCGAATTCTACCAGAAGTACAAGGAGGAACTGGTACCATTCCTTCTGAAACTATTCCAATCAATAGAAAAAGAGAGAATCGTCCCTAACTCATCTTATGAGGCCAGCAACATTCTGATACCAAAGCCAGGCAGAGACACAGCAAAAAAAGAGAATTTTAGACCAATATCCTTGATGAACATTGATGCAAAATCCTCAATAAAATACTGGCAAACCGAATCCAGCAGCACATCAAAAAGCTTATCCTCCATGATCAAGTAGGCTTCATCCCTAGGATGCAAGGCTTGTTCAACATATGCAAATCAATAAACGTAATCCAGCTTACAAAAAGAACCAAAGACAAAAACCACATGATTATCTCAATAGATGCAGAAAAGGTCTTTGACAAAATTCAGCAACCCTTCATGCTAAAAACTCTCAATAAATTAGGTATTGATGGGACATATCTGAAAATAGTAAGAGCTATCTATGACAAACCCACAGCCAATATCATACTGAATGGGCAAAAACTGGAAGCATTGCCTTTGAAAACTGGCACAAGACAGGGATGCCCTCTCTCACCACTCCTATTCAACATAGTGTTGAAAGTTCTGGCCAGGGCAATTAGACAGGAGAAGGAAATAAAAGGTATTCGATTAGGAAAAGAGGAAGTCAAATTATCCCTGTTTGCAGATGACATGATTATATATCTAGAAAACCCCATCATCTCAGCCCAAAATCTCCTTAAGCTGATAAGCAACTTCAGCAAAGTCTCAGGATACAAAATCAACGTACAAAAATCAGAAGCATTCTTGTACACCAATAACAGACCAACAGAGAGACAAATCATGGGTGAACCCCCATTCACAATTGCTTCAAAGAGAATACAATACCTAGGAATCCAACTTACAAGGGACGTGAAGGACCTCTTCAAGGAAAACTACAAACCACTGCTCAATGAAATAAAAGAGGATACAAACAAATGGAAGAACATTCCATGCTCATGGGTTGGAAGAATCAATATTGGAAAAAAACTACTTTAAAGTTCATATGGAACCAAAAAAGAGCCCACATCGCCAAGTCAATCCTAAGCCAAAAGAACAAAGCTGGTGGCATTAGGCTACCTGACTTCAAACTATGCTACAATGCTACAGTAACCAAAACAGCATGGTACTGGTAACAAAACAGAGATATAGATCAATGGAACAGAACAGAGCCCTCAGAAATAATGCCGCATATTTACAACTATCTGATCTTTGACAAACCTGAGAAAAACAAGCAATGGGGAAAGGATTCCCTATTTAATAAATGGTGCTGGGAAAACTGGCTAGTCATATGTAGAAAGCTGAAACTGGATCCCTTCCTTACACCTTATACAAAAATTAATTCAAGATGGATTAAAGACTTACATGTTAGACCTAAAATCATAAAAACCCTAGAAGAAAACCTAGGCAATACCATTCAGGACATAGGCATGTGCAAGGATTTCATGTCTAAACCATTCTCCCCATCACTTTCAAGTACACCAATCAAACTTAGATTTGGTCTTTTCACATAGTCCCATATTTCTTGGAGGCTTTGTTCATTTCTTTTTACTCTTTTTCTCTAAACTTCACTTCTCACTTCATTTCATTCATTTGATCTTCCATCACTGATACCCTTTCTTCCACTTGATTGAATCGGCTACAGAAGCTTGTGCATGCATCATGTAGTTCTTGTGCCATGGTTTTCAGCTCCGTCAGGTCATTTAAGGTCTTCTCTATGCTGTTTATTCTAGTTAGCCATTCATCTAATCTTTGTTCAAGGTTTTTAGCTTCCTTGCAATGAGTTCGAACATCCTCCTTTAGCCCAGAGAAGTTTGTTATTACTGACCTTCTAAAGCCTACTTCTGTCAACTCATCAAAGTCATTCTCCATCCAGCTGTGTTCCATTGCTGGCAAGGAGCTGCAATCCTTTGGAGGAGAAGCGGCGCTCTGATTTTTTGAATTTTCAGCTTGTCTGCTCTGGTTTCCCCCCATCTTTGTGGTTTTATCTACCTTTGGTCTTTAATGATGGTGACCTACAGATGTGGTTTTGGTGTGGATGTCCTTTTTGTTGATGCTGTTCCTTTCTGTTTGCTAGTTTTCCTTCTAACAATCAGGACCCTCAGCTGCAGGTCTGTTGGAGTTTGCTGGGGTTCCACTCCAGACCCTGTTTGCCTGAGTGTCACCAGTGGAGGCTGCAGAACAGCAAATATTGCTGCCTGATCCTTCTTCTGGAAGCTTCATCTCAGAGGGACACTTGGCTGTATGAGGTGTCAGTAAATCCCTACTGGCAGCTCTGTCCATTCTCAGAGTTCAAACTTCATGCTGGAGAACCACTGCTCTCTTCAGAGCTGTCAGACAGGGATGTTTAAGTCTGCAGAAGTTTCTGCTGCCTTTTATTCAGCTATACCCTGCCCCCAGAGGTGGAGTCTACAGAGGCTGCCAGGCCTCGTTGAGCTGCAGGGAGCTCCACACAGTTCAGGCTTCCCAGCTGCTTTGTTTACCTACTCAAGCCTCAGCAATGGTGGATGCCCCTCTCCCAGCCCAGGCTGCCACCTTCCAGTTCGATCTCGGACTGCTGCACTAGCAGTAAGCAAGGCTGTGTGGGCATGGGACACGCTGAGCCAGGCATGGGATATAATCTCCTGGTGTGCCATTTGCTACGACCATTGGAAAAGCACAGTATTAGGGTGGGAGTGTCCGGATTTTCCAGGTACCGTCTGTCACGGCTTCCCTTGGCTAGGAAGGGGAAATCCCCCGACCACTTGTGCTGCTTCCCAGATGAGGCGACGCCCTGCCCTGCTTCGGATCACCCTCTGTGGGCTGCACCCACTGTCCGACCCGTCTCAGTGCGATGAACCAGGTACCTCAGTTGGAAATACAGAAATCACCTGTCTTCTACATCAATTATGCTGAGAGCTGCAGACAGGAACTGTTCCTATTCGGCCATCTTGGAACGATCCTCTCTTTTCATTTATTTAAGAAATATTTGAAAAGCAAAGATTTCATCATTTTGGTGAAGTCCAATTTATCTGTTTTTCTTTTATAGAACATGTTTTTGATATTATATCTAAGAAAACTTTTCTTAGTCCAAGGTCATAAATATTTTCTCCTATATTTTTTTTCCTAGAAGTTTTACAGTTTTAGCTCATACAATTAGGTCTATGATCCATTTTAGTTAATTTTCGTATGTGACCTAAGGATCTAGGTTTAGTTTTTGTAAATGAATAACCAGTTCTTATAGAATCATTTGTTGAAAGAACATCTTTTTCCTATTGAATTGTCTTAGCATCTTTGATGAAAATTAATTGACTATTTATGTGATTGGATTCTGAACTCCACTTAGTTCCATTGATCTATCTATCTCTCTTAATGTGGATTCTACACTGTCTTGACTACTGTTGCTTTACACTGAATTTTAAAATAAGGCAGTATTAAGTACTTTAACTTCATTCTTACTTAGCAAGATTGTTTTGGCTATTCTAGGTATTTTTGTATTTCTATATAATTTTAGAATCAGCTTGTCAATTTTTCCAATAATCTTTCTAGACTTTTGGCAGGAATTGCCGTTAATTTGTAGATCAATTGACATCTAACAATATTGAGTAATCTAATCCATTAACATGATATATCTCTCCATTTATTTAGACATTTATCTGAGTGATGTTTTTTAGTTTTCAGTGCAAACGTTTCACACTTATTTTGTTAAATTTATTCCTAATTATTATTGCTATAGTTTGAGTGTCTCTACCAAAACTCATGTTGGAACGCTTAAGAGGTGGGGCCTAATGGAAAGTGTTTGTGTCTTGGGAGCTCTTCCTTTGTGGGCAGCTTGGTACTATTCTTACATTGGTGAGTGAGTTCTCACTCTTGTGAGATTAGTTCTCTCAGGAATGGATTAGTTACCATGAGAATGAGTTGCTATATGGTGAGGTCACGCTTCATGCTTGGCCTCCTGGTACATGTCTACTCCCCTTTGACCTTCTTCTACCATGTTGTGACACAACACTGAAGCTTTCACCAGAACCCAAGCAGATGCCAGTGTCATTCTTTGCAGCCTGCAGAACTGCAAGCTAAATATACCTCTTTATAAATTACTCAGTCTCTGGTATTCTGTTATAGCAACACAAAACGGGCTAAGACAGAAAATTGGTACTGAGAGTGGGATGTTGCTATTTAGATTCTCAAAAATGCAGAAGCATCATTGGAACTGGGTAATGGGCAGAAGTTGGAAAAGTTTGAAGGAGCAGACTAGAAAAAGACTGTATTGCCATAAACAGAGCATTAAGGATAATTTCAGTGAGGGCTCAAAAGAAAACAAAAAGATGAGAGAAAGTTTAGAATTTCTTAGAGACTGGTTAAGTAGTCATTACCACAATGCTGATAAAAATATGGACAGCAAAGGCCATTCTAATGAGATCTCAGATAGAAATGAGGAACAAGGTATTAGGAACTGGAGACCAAGTCATCCTTGTTAGACCATAGCAAACATTTGGCTGTGTTGTTTCTAAGACTTTGTGCCCTAAGGTTTTGTGGAAGGCCAAACTTAAGAGTGATGAACTAGGGTACCTGGCAGAAGAAATTTCTAAGCAAAATATAGAGCAGCTATGTAGTTACTCCTTACTACATTCAGTGAAATGCAAAATGACAAGGGAAGCAAACACAAAAATTTGAAAATTAATAGCCTAGCCATGTGGAAGAGAATGAAAGAACATTTTAAGGTGAGGAATCCAAGGGTGCAGCAGAACAACCAATACTAAAGAGATTAGCACTGAGAGAAGAAAGCCAGTTGACAGTTATTGAGACAATTTTTTTAAAGGCCCTGAAGACATTTCAGAAATTTTTGAGGTTGCCTCTCCAGAGGTCTAGGAGGACAGAATGGTTTTAAGAGACAGAACCCATGCATCACTGCCCTGTGCTGTTTTGAGATCCTGCTACCCAAATTCTGGCACAGCCCTCAGCAGCCACCCCAGCCATGGCACAATCATACTCAGGTGTGGCTCAGGCTGCCATTCCACAGGATACAAACCATAAACCTTGGTGACATGCAGTCATGGATCAAGCAGCCTCAGATACAGCTCATGACAGCACTCTGGAGGGTGCAAGCGGTAAGCCTTGATGGTTTTTACAACCATGTGGTACTAGTTTTGCAGATGTGCAGAATACAAGAGAAGTGGAGGCATGGTGGATGCCACCTAGATTTTAAGGAATGTACTGAAAAGACTTGGAGCTCAGGTGGAGACTTGTTGCAGGGCCAGAGCCACTGCAGTGTACCTCCCCCAGGGCAATGCTGAGCAGAAATGTAGGGTTGGAGCTGCCACAAAGAGTCTGTACCAGGGCAATGCCTAGTGAATCCATGAAGTGGACCACCACTGGGACTCCAGAACTATAGAGCCATTGCCACCATGCAACCTCAGCCTGGAAAGGCCACAGGTATCCAACTCCAACCAGTGAGAGTAGCCATGTGGCTATGCCCAACAAAGCAATGGAGGTGGGGCTGCCCAAGGCTTTAGTGATAAAAACTCCCCATTATGCCCAGGAGGTAGCACATGGAGTGGAGAATTATTCTGGAGCTTTAAGATTTAGTGTCTGCCCTGCTGAGTTTTGAACTTGCTTGAGGCCTGTCACCTCTTTCTTCTTTTGGCCTATTTCTCCCTTTTGGAATGGAACTGTCTGCCATATGACTATTCCACCATTGTATCTTGAAGTAAATAACTTGTTTTTTTTTTTAATTTTACAGGCTCATAGCTAGAAGGAACTTGCCTTGAGTCTTATATGAGACTTTGGACTTTGACCTTTGAATTGTTACTGGAATACATTAAGACTTTGGGGACCATTGAGATTGAATAATTACATTTTGTAGTGTAAGAGGGACATGAGTTTGGGGTTCCAAGGGTGGAATGCCATAGTTTCCGTCTTTCTGTCAAAAATCATGTTGGAACCTTTAAGAGGTAAGGCCTAATGGGAGACGCTTGGGTCATGGGGGCTCTGCCATTTTGAGCAGCTTGGTGCAGTCCTCATATAGTGAGTGAGTTCTTGCTCTCATGAAACTGGATTGGTTCCTGTGGGAATAGATTAGTTGCCCTGAGAATGGATTGTTATAAAGCAACCCATCGTACATGGTTGTACCTTGTGTTTGGCCTCTTGGCACATTCCCACTTCCTCTTTGGTCTTCTGCCATGTTGTGATGCACTGCTAAAGCCCTCACCAGAAGCTAAGCAGATACTGGTGCCATGCTTCTTGAACTTCCCAGTCTGGAGAAACATGAGCTAAATAAACCTCTTTATACAGTCTCAGGTGTTCTATTATAACAACATAAAACAAACTAAGACATTTATTTTTGATGTTATTGTGATTGGAATTGTTTTCTTTATTTCATCTTTGTATTGTTTGTTGCTACTATATATATAACCAATTTTTGTATATTGATCATATACTCTACAAACTCACTAAGCCCCCCTCTTAGTTCTAGTAAGTCTGGGAGGGGGTGTGGTATGTGGGTGTGTGTGTGTGGGTGTGTTCCTTAGGATTTTCTGCATACAAGGCTAACAATAAAAAGAGTTGTCTTTTGTCCATACCTTTTTTCCTTGACTATTGCACAAACTAAGACCTGTGGTGCATTGTTAAATAGAAGTGGTAAACACAGATATCTTTGCATGTTTCCTAATCTAGAGGGAAGCACATTCTTACCATTAAGTATGTTGGCTATAGGCTTCTGGTAGATGCCTTGATCATTTGAAGAAGTTCCCTTCTATTCATAAGTTGATGGGATTTTTTTTAATATATGAGTGTTGAATTCTGTCAAATGCTTTTCTGCATCTATTGAGGTGATCATATGGTTTTGTCCTTTATTCTGTTAATATAGTTTATTACATTGATTTTTGGATGTTAAGTCAACCTCACATTCCTGAGATAAACTTCATTTGATTATGGTATAAAATCCTTTTCATATGTTGCTCAATTACATTTGCTAATATTTGGTTAAGAATTTTTATGTCTAGGTTCACAAGGGATATTGGTATATAGCTGTGTTTTCTTGTAATGTCTTTGTCTTGTTTTGATATCAGGGTAATATTGATATCAAATGAAATAAAGTTAGTTGGGAAGTTTCCTTCATCCTCTATTTGCTGAATAAAGCTTTTGTAACATTGGTATTATTTCCTCCCTTAATAGCTTCATAGAATTCACCAGTGAAGTATATTTTTTCTCTATAGGAAGATTTGAAATTACTGATGCAATTTCTTTACTTGATATTGGTATTTGTTTTTTTTCTTTTTCCTTGAGTCAGTTTTGGTAATTTGTGTCTTTCTAGGAATTGTTCTGTTTTATCTAAGTTGTCAAATTTTTTGCCTTAAAGTTATTATGCTATTTTCTTAACATCCTTTTAAGGGTAGGGTCTGTGGTGATATTTCTCATTGATTCTTGATTTTGGGAATTAGTGTCTTCTTTCTTTTTTCTTGGTCAATTTAACTAAATATTATTTATCTTCTTGACTTTCTGAAATAAGCAATTTTGGGTTTCTTTGGTTGTTTTTAATGTTATCCTGTTCTGTATTTATCGTTTTCCACTGTGACATTTTTATTTCATACATCCTACTTAATTTCGGCCTGGTTTACTCATCTTTTTCTAGAGTCTTAAGATGGAAGTTTTAATTATCAATTTTAGATTATTTTTTCTTTCTGTTTTTAAAGCTATACATTTTCCTCTTTACACTGCTTTAATTGCATCCTGTAAATATTGCTATGTTATTGGTTTTTTGTATTTTAAGTTTATAACGTTTTATTTATAAAAATAGGCTGGGGGAAAAGGATTTATACCACTGCATTCTTTCCTGGGGGAGAACTATTTTGGGCCATTTTTGTAATTTTTTTTCCTCTTAACAATTTTCAGAGTCACATTTGAATTCCTTCAGAATGGTATTTGTCAACAAAAAAGTTGAAGTTAAAAGGAGGAGGGAAACCGGGGAAGCATGAAGAAAGGGAGTGAGAGAAGGAGGAGTGGGCATACAGCAGTCAACACATAAAGACAGGCTTTTACTGAAATGACTCTGCCCTGTGCCTCATGCACTAGGTGATGCAAGCATACTGCTCAGACGTCAACACCAAATGTCATTTAGAAATGGTAGTCTTCTCTGGGTTCTGAAGGACACTTGTTCCCCAACATGACACTATTAAATGATGCTTTCAAGGCAGACACTAAGACATTACTCCAAAGAGAAGGCTCTGGTGGCAGATGCTGGGGCCATATTCTTTATAGTCCTTCTTGGTGTGACAGACCTGAAATAACTCCAGAGTTGAGGCTAGCATTAAGCTTCCAAACCATAAGGCATAGTGCTGCATGTGATGGATTACCACCCGAAACTCTGTAAGCTTAGGTTTGATTCTCCTGCCACTGAGCTCCTTACTGAGTTTTAATCTGGCATGTACCACTCTTCAAATCTCTCTGTAGTTGAGATTCAAATCCCTGAATATGGTCAAACCCCTTGAAAGAACAACATTCTTATACAGTGGACAATGCACATCAATGGGACAGTTTTGTATTCATCAACAACATTCAAGACGGATTCCATAAAGTCTGGGTTGGCAAACTCTGGGTAAAAAAATATTTCAGGTTGCAGGAACCTTTTGTAACCAACATCTATTATGAACTTCTCCTGGTTGATCACATTGATACCTGTGTACTGTTTGATCCACTTCCAGGGATCCACATCATACTTAGCAAATTCCTTGACTATATCAGGGCAAATGTAACAGTATTTCTCCTTAATGGCTTTTGTGGTCTCCAGTGACTGCTCAAGAGGGATTCCTACCTCCCTCTCCCTTAGTAGTTGTTGAATGAAATACACAGTATCACCTACAATCAGGATGTGATTGATGCAGCTCCCAATTACATAACCTTCTACAACTGGGAGAACAAGGGTGACTCCATCTCCTTTGTCAATGACTATACTCATTAACATATATTCACCCACTTGTTGAGATGTCCAAGATACTTCCAAGGCTAGTACCTCCTGAACTGCAATGTAGAATCCTGGTACATTAAATAATTCAAACATAATTTCTGCAAAAATGTTCTGTATTTTCTAGTGTATTCAGTGGAAGTTCTGTCATTGCAAAATAATGGTCCTCAGATTCTGCTCAAAATATTTAAAAACCACTTGCTCCATGAACCTTTCCATAATATCCCAGTCTTCAGTGACTCCATGTCATATTGACCACTTTGTAGCATACGTAGATTTATCAATGGCTTCATCCTGTATGAAAAAGTCAAGCTCATCAACTCCCCTCAACATTCTCCCTTGGGCTTTGTCAACTACCTTTGCTGACTCTCTGACAGAAATGCATGAAAGAATAGTAAACTATGCAGGCTCAGTGTTGCCTGCATAGCCAAGCTCGGAATATCTACTGAGGTGATCACAGGGCTGAGACCCAGAGCAATGGGGGCAGCTCAATCTCCAAGTGTGGGCTGGATGTCAGGGGCTGAGAGCAAGGCAATGGAGGAGCCAGGGTGGGCACTGAGTGGCTCTTACCTGATGCCACAGTCTGCCACACAGGAAGGCAGGAAGCCCGCCATGCTTGGAATACACAACACTTAGCCCCACTGGCCACCCTGGAGCACCCTGCCACCATCCACTTGGCAACCCACTCACCCCATACACCCTGTCTCCTGTGTGTTTCCACTTTTATTCATCTTAAGATATATTGTAGATGGGTGCAGCAAACCACATGGCACGTGTATACCTATGTAACAAACCTGCATGTTCTGCACATGTATCCCAGAACTTAAAGTACAATAAATTTTAAAAAAGGAATATTTTAAAGGATCAACCTACTATTTGACAGTCATGGAAATAGTGAATGGGAATTAAAGGGAAAAAATAAGTAAGCAAAGGAAGGGAGGAGGAAAGGGGAAAAGAAAGGAAAGAAAAGGAAAAGGGAAATACAAGAAAAGGAGACAAATAAATACATAAACAAATAAGTGACTGAAAGTCTGAGAGTTGGCAAATACTATTCAGATAACACTGACAAAATAGGCCTCTTGCTAAAAATAGCAGAATGCACAAAGTACAGGAGCAGCCTGTCTGTCCTGAGAGGCTGGGGAGGTTTAGGAAAAGAGGCTGGAGAGATTTGAGACAGGTCTGAAGTATGTAGTCAGTTTTTGCTTGGTGGAAAAAGTAATCATGGGTGATTCAGAAAAAGCAAGATACTTACATAATAACTGTTTTGTACCTTTTTTTAGTCTTCTATTACTTTCATAAAATTATCTTTGCATCAAAAGTTATTAACACTTTCAGGACTCCTTGTATGCAAAATTCTTTGAATTGCATTTCTTAATTTGTGATCGCACTGGTAATTTATCTAGCACAATGAACTGAATGTGTGTCTTTATGTTTAAAGGGAAAAATAAAATTCAAAACAGCATATTTGATATAATTTATGATTAGATAATAGAGAATTATCAACTTTAATATAATTTTTAGAAAGTAAAGCTTAGGCTAGTCACGATGGCTCATGCCTGTAATCCCAGCACTTTGGGAGGCTGAGGCGGGTGGATCACCTGAGGTCAGGAGTTCAAGACCAGCCTGACCAACATGGAGAAACCCTGTCTCTACTAAAAATACCAAATTAACCGGCACTAACGATTCATGAGAAATCTGCCCCATGATCCATTCACCTCCCAGCAGGACCTATCTCCAACTTTGGGGATTAAAATTCAACATGAGATTTGGGCAGGGACACATATCCAAACTATATCAACAGAGTTTCATTGTGTTGATCGGGCTAGTCTCAAACTCCTAGCCTCAAGCAATACTTCTATCTCAGCCTCCCAAGTACCTTTGGGGATTATAATAATCAATCATCTTCACTTTTTACAATCTACTTTGGTTTAATAATTTTTACTTAATTCCAGTGTTATATAGCAACTTTGATCCAATGTATCTCTTATATGCTATGAACTCAGCAGTATTGTTGTAGTTATTGCCTATAATAATCAGATGCTTTTTTAAAAAAAGAGATGAAATCAGAATACACACACACACACACACACATACACACACACACACACATACACACATACAATCTTTTATACTTACAAATTTATTTACCATTTCCCATGCTGTTTATTCCTTATAGGTTCAAGTTGCCATCTGGTGTCATATCCTTTTATCTTAAAAGCATTTTCTTTAGTGTTTCTTTAGCAAGGATAAGTTCTTTTTATTTTTATTTATCTGGAAATGTCTTTATTTCAGCTCCATTTTTGAAGGATCATTTAACTGGATACAGAATTCTTAATTGACAGTTATTTTTCCCTCCACTTTTGAAATGTCGCTTCATAAGACCTCCATTTTTTTCAGATAAAAATGCCAGTATTGATAATATTACTGTTCCCCTGTATGTGATAAGTCGTCTCTTGCTACTTTCATGATTTTCTTATTATCCTTGGTTTTCACCAATTTGACAAGGATGGCTCTAGGTGTGAATCTCTTTGTGTTTATCCTACTAGAGATTTGTTGGACTTCTTATATCTGAAGATTAATGTTTTTCATAGCATTTTTGAAGTTTTCAGACATGTTTTCAAATATTTTTCTGCCCTCTTATCTCTCTCTTCTCCTGGAATTCCCATTATGCATATGTTAGTGCTCTTGATGGTATCCCATAAATTTCTGAGGATCTGTTTATTATCCTTCATTCTTTTTTCTTTTTGTTCTTCAGATTGATTAACCTCTATTGGTCTACCTTCAAGTTCACTGATACTTTCTTTCACAAGGTCAAATATGCTATTGAACCTCGCTAGTGATTTTTTCACTTTAACTGTTGTACTTTTCAATTCTAGATTCTATTTTTAAACATATTCTGTCCCCTTATTCATATTTTCTATTGGACAGCACATTATCATACTTTTAATTTGAACATATTTATAATATATACTTTGAAAACTTTCTTTCTAAATCCAATATCTGAATTGAGACAGTTTCTATTCACTGCTTTTTTTCCAGAGTATGAGCCACATTTTCCTGTTTCCTTACATGTCTGATAATTTTTAATTGAAAACTAAACACTTTAATTACACATTATAGCAAATCTGGATCTGGTTTTTATTTGTTATTGTCTTTGTTGTTGTTATGTTTTGGTAATTGGCCTATACTTGTGCTGTGTAATCCTTCTGCCCAGTGGTTTTCAGCATTGATGTCTTTTATATTGTGTTGTTGCTGTTATTGTTGTTTTAGCCTGTCTTTCTAGGGATTTCCTCTGTGTCTGTTGCATAGCTTGATTTTGGAGAGACATTATATTAAAGCTAGTAAGGCTTCCACTCTCTGCCAAATAATCTGTGGGTGGGTGGGTGAATGTATTCAAAGTTGCAATTAATACTCAATTCTTACTTCATTTTTGCTTTTTGTCATACTCTCTTGAGTCTTTCCTGCACTTCCATACTTTTCCAATTGGCCATATGTGTGGAGAAGTTTTCTCAAACTTTCTATGATTCTCTCCTTTCCAGGATTTCTCTCTCTCTCTTTTTTTTTTTAGTAATACTCAGATTTTTAATTTATTATAGTGAATGGATACAAAGCAAAATTAGCAAAGGGAAAAAGTTGTATGTGGTAAAGTCTGGAGGATACCAGGCACAAGCTTCCTGGAATCATCTCCTGTGGAGTTACAAGGATGTGTTTCTCTTTCCCAGCATGAAATTTTGACAGCACATGTGTAATGTCATCTACCAGGACCAGAGTCTCATTAGAGACTCAGTACTCAGGATTTTACGGAGGTTACTCTCCTTCACATGTACCAGAATTCTAGACTCCCAGAGGAAAAGCAGCTGTTCAGAGTAAACCACATTGTTTGTATAAACAGTTTAGGCACAGTGAGCCACTCTTCTTAGTGAGAGAATTGGAACTTGGAACTGGAAAACTCTAACCTTGCATGTGGGTCTTTCTTTTCTTTCTTTCTTTCTTTCTTTCTTTCTTTCTTTCTTTCTTTCTTTCTTCTTTCTTTCTTTTTCTTTCTTTCTTTCTTTCTTTCTTTCTTTCTTTCTTCTTTCTTTCTCTCTCTTTCTTTCTTCCTCTTTCTTTCTTTCTTTGTTTCTTTCTCTCTTTCTTTCTTTCTTTCTTTCTTTCTTTCTTTCTTTCTTTCTTTCTTTCCTTCTTTCCTTCTTTCTCTTTCTTTCTTTTTTAATTTTACTTTGAGTTCCAGGATACATGTGCAGAACATTCAGGTTTGTTACACAGGTATACATGTGCCATGGTGGTTTGCTGCACCTATTGACCCTCAGGATCTCTCATTTAAATTTTTGTCTTGTCTTCCACTTCCCCAATTGAAACTGCAACCTCAGACTAGCAAATCTGCAATTCTCTCTGTTCATTCCCAAACCACTCTGCTATATTTAACTGGCAAAACCATTGATTTCTTCCCTCCACTCCATACCAAATCCCCCCTTGCCCGCAGCCCTAACAGGAAAGCTGCTGGGTTTTACATCCAGCTTCAAACTTGTAAAGCTACAGTTTTTCCCAACTGAGCTTGGGGGTGAGAAGAGAGATGGGAGTGTATTAGTCCGTTTTCATTCTGCTGATAAAGTCATACCCAAGACTGGGAAGAAAAAGAGGTTTAATTGGACTTATAGTTCCAGGTGGCTGAGGAGACCTCAGAATCATGGCGGGAGGTGAAAGGCACTTGTTACATGGTGGCTGCAAGAGAAAATGAGGAAGATGCAAAAGCGGAAAACTCTGATAAAGCCATCAGATCTTGTGAGACTTATCCACTACCACGAGAACAGTATGGGGGGGAGCCACCCCCATGATTCAATTATCTCCCACCAGGTCCCTCCCACAACACATAGGAATTATGGGAGTACAATTCAAGATGAGATTTGGTTGGGGACACAAAGCCAAACCATATCAGGGAGCAACCCCAGTCAGGAAGGGCTCAGACTTTTACCAATCCTACCCAAAACCCTAACACTTTTTTCAAGAATAAATGCTTCTTAAATTTGATAACTGCCTTTGATGAGTTTTCAGGGTCCTGAAATGACTGTTTTTGGTATTTCTGCAATTTCTGGGGGGACTTTTTGTGTGGAAATAAATTGCCAACCTTTTCATGTCACCTCCCAACCTTATCTTTATATCCTCTGATTAACAATTTTCATTAGTAATGTGTTACACAACAAATACTTGTTTAGACTAACCTACATTTTACCAATTTCTTTGCACATTGTTCCGTCTTTTTTGGTTCTATGTCATATTTCTAAAGCATATCTTTCAGTAGATTTTTCCCTGGTAAAAAATGGCATATGTTCTTAAATGTATTTGTTTGACAATATCTTTCATTTGTCTTTTGTTCGAGTGACAGTTAACTTGCTACAGAATTCAACATTGAATGTTGTGTTTATCTCTGTACTTTGAAGACTTTATTTAATTATCTTCCATCTTCTATTGTTGCTGATAAGAATTGAGAATCTGCTCTATTGTTTATTCAATTATGATTAATCTCTCTTTCTCTGTCTAGATTATTTAAGATTTTATTTTTGCCTTTGGTAGTCTATAGTTTCTCAACATTTTATCTAAGTATCTATTTTTACTTAATCCTGATTAGAACTCATTTGACTTCCTGTGTCCAAATCAATAAAAACCCTAATCAATTCTGTAAAATTTGAAGCCAGTTTTCTTCTCAAATATTATGTCTTCTTCATTCTTTCAATTATGTTTCTGAAACTACCAATAATTGTGTTTTAGATCTTTTCCATAATCTAAATCTCTCATTTTCCACCTCATTTTTTTGTGTGTGTGCTATGCTCTTAAATAATTTCCTCATATCTACTACTTTGCTGTGTTCTCTCTTCAGCTTTGTCTAGATTGCTATTTCAGTACTTAGTGGGTTTTTTTCAGTTGAGTAAATTTTAAAGTTTTTTCTAGATGTTCTATTTAATTATTTTACAATACTTTCAAGTAATTTCTTCTTCTCATGTCTGCAATTTTTAAAAATTTTATCTAGTCCCTTTGAAAATACATATTTTATAGTGTCTATCTAGTGGTTCTATTGACTTTATGCAGTCTGGGATCAGGAGTGTCTATTAGAGATTTTTTGAATTAGCATCTAGTAAATGTTCTAGGGATACTTCTATGCAGGGACACTTTTATGGTAGGTTTAGAACTTTGGGATCCCTAACCTGTGCACGTAATGTAATTTGAGCCCTACACATAAGTTGGATGAGGCCAGTTTTACATATGAATTCTCAAAAAAGACTTTGCCACCCAGAGACCAGCTAAGAAAAACTGCCTTGTCTTCTCAATTTGTCAGTAAGATGACATTTTCTGGTCTGTGTTTTTTATTTATCTTTTTGTTTTTTGTTTTGTTTTGTTTTGTTTTCTTGAGATGGAGTTTTGCTCTTGTTACCCAGGCTGGAGTGAAGTGGCGCCATCTCAGCTCACTGCAATGTCCGCCTCCTGGGTTCAAGCAATTCTCCTACCTCAGCCTCCCAAGTAGCTGGGATTACAGGCATGCACCACCAGGCCAGACTAATTGTCTGTATTTTTAATAGAGATGGCGTTTCACCGTGTTGGTCAGGCTCATCTTGAACTCCTGACCTCAGGTGATCCACCCACCTCGGCCTCCCAAAGTGCTGGGATTACAGGCGCGAGCCACCATGCCCAGCCTGGTCCATTATTTTAGTAAATGTTTAGCCCTCCAAGGCTTCCAGTTTTGCAGGATGACAATAATCAGAGGGGACGAGGAAAGAAACTTTCTTCTAACTCTCTGCCTGGAGTGAGTCAAAATCCTCCTCTTCTACCCTGGCAAATTCTATACAGCCAGAAAGGGGTCATAGCTAAAAAATTCATGTAAGCAGTTTTAAGAATATTAAAAGCATTATCAATTATGATTCATAGCAAATAAAGGTAGCCATTTAATTAGCAAATGGAAATTTACCATGTTATTGTCTGTTCTTTACAGAAACCTATGGATTCCTCAGTGAGTAGCACCTAGTTGCCAGAAACAAGATGTCTAGTAATTTATACCTACTCATCTTAATCTCCCTCTACCTCCTACACATAATCTAAGATACTTTATATTTATTCCCACAAAATCTAGGTTCATTTCTTCCAGCCATTACCTCCTATAATACATTTATGCCAAAAATCAGTTGAATTATCCTTTCAATAAAAAGATTTAGCAGGTTCCTGTTAAAAGATTTGGCACCTTGACACTGTGATCTTCAATAAGGTTGTGAATTCTTATCACAGCCAATCATCCTCTTATTTTCCATCCTGATAAAAAAGCTATTTTAAAATATAAAATGAAGTAAATCTCATCATATTGCCATGATGTTTTTAACTATCATGTATTATAAGTTAGCATTTTCAAGAGTTCACATATAGGTTTTTTTTATTTTTTTTAATTTTTTTATTGAGACTGAGTCTCACTCTGTCACCCAGACTGGAGTGCAGCGGCACAATCTTGGCTCACTGCAACCTCCACCTCCTGGGTTCAAGCAATTCTCCTGACTCAGCCTCCCATGTAGCTGGGATTACAGGCACGAACCACCACGCCTGGCTAATTTTTGCATTTTTAGTAGAGACGGGATTTCACTGTGTTGGCCAGGCTGGTCTCAAACTCCTGACCTCATGTGATCCAGCCCGCCTCAGCCTCCCAAAGTGCTGGGATTAAGGCGTGAGCCACTGCACCTGGCCCACATACAGTTTTTAAATATTTTTAAAGTGAAAACACTTTGTTTAAAACCTACTTCATAAATTGACAGGTTATTTGGAATATATGTTAAGCAGATATCTCTTTCACCAAACTAGTAAGCAATGTTGATCTATACCATGTATCATTTTATAGAACTGGCTATTAGTATATATGATAAAAGAGAATTGATCCTTTGTTTGTATACATCTATGTGTATGTAGATATATAGCTGTTCACTTTTTCGTATTTCAGGAGTTACACTGTTTGTGATATGGTACATGACCTGGTCAATCTTAGGCTCTGAAGCTCTCCCTGGTGGAAATTTATTTGGATTGTTAATTATTTTTTATAGTGCCATTATTGGGGGAAAAAATTTACAACTCATTAGAATACCTTTAGTGCCGCCATTTCCACCTCTTCTTGGTAAGCATATAATTAGCTCTCTTTTCTTTATTATTGACTATATGCAAATTTTGAACATTTTCTTGTTGAATTAGTTATAATTCAGCAATATTTCAATGTAGTATGTTTTATATAGTTTCTTCATGTGTGTATTTACTGCGTGTGTGTGTGTGTGTACAGATCCTTTATATGGGCATTTATTTCTCTCTCTGTCTACATATATACACACACAAGTTTTACCCAAAATTTATTTTTGAAATAAATTTAATATCCTTAGCACATTATTCCTGTTGCTTTTTTGTTTAATAGAACCTTTAAAAATTTTAGATTCACGGAGTACATGTGCAGGTTTGGTACATGGATATATTGCATAATGGTGAGATTTGGGCTCTAGTGAACCCATCACCAAACAGTGAATACTATACCCAATAGGTAATTTTTCAACCTTAACCCTCCAACCCTCTCTCCTTTTGGACTCCCCAGTGTCTATTATTTCCATCTTTATGTCCATATGTACCCATTGTTTAGCTCCCACATATAAGTGAGAACATGTGGTATTTGAGTTTTCTGTTTCTGAGTTATTTCACTTAGGATAATGGTGTTCAGCTCTATCCATGTTGCTACAAAGGACATGATGCCATTCTTTTTTATGACTGCATAGTATTCCATGGTGTATATGTACCACATTTTCTTTATTTAGTCATTTAGGTTGATTGCATGTCTTTTTATTGTGAATAGTGCCACAATGAACATATGTGTGTGCATCTCTTTATGGAAGAATGATTCACATGTTTAACCATCCTTGTATTTCTGGAGTAAAACACACTTAACTATATTATCTTTTTGATGTACTATAGAATTCATTTTGCTAGTTGAGAATTTTTGCATCTATGTTCATCAGGGATACTGACCGGTGGAGTGTGTGTGTGTGTGTGTGTGTTTGTGTGTGTGTATGGCTTTGCCTGATTTGGGTATAATTGTGATACTAGATTCATAGAATGTGTTAGGAAGGTAGTCCCTCTTTGATTTTTTTGGATTAAGTTTCAATCACCTTTGACCCTGAACTACTGTTCTAGTGGATTGTACAATGACCCTGAACTAGTGGATTGTACAATGAAAAAATGAATGAATATAAATTATTGTAAAATAAAATTTTGTTAAGTATATGATAACCATACAAATGCAAAACAATAAACAATGTGATATGAAAACTCTCAGCCACCTACCATATTTGTGTTTGTTTTTGAGCTGCATAGTGGGAGGAGGTGCTCCTTACAATTTTCACTTTGTAAACATTTATTCTTTGATTTTAACCATCACTGCTATAACCACCATCACTCGTGGATTCACCAAAAATTAAGTAAAGAATTATCTTATTTGTTTTTATAAAACTTTGTAAAATGTATGTAGAGCTCACATTTATTTCATTGTTTAATACTAGAAGTGTTTTGGATCTTTATTTAGAAGTTTGGTGATGTTTTGTGACCAGAAATATGCTGTAGGAAATTCACTCTTCTTTATATCACTTAGCCTATGTTAAATTGGTTTTGTTATATACCATTTTACTCAAAGTTGCCATTTCCAATCACCTATCGATGATGTTAAGTGAGAACTTACTGTATTCAAATATGTCTAAATATTCAGTACAGTGGGCCAGGCATGGTGGCTCATGCCCATAATCCCAGTACTTTGGGAGGCCAAGGCAGGAGGATCACCTGAGCCCAGGAGTTCAAAACCAGCCTGGGCAACATAGCAGACCTTCTCTTTACAAAATATTAAAAATTTTTCTGGGTCTCAGCTACTCAGGAGGCTAAGGCAAGAGGATCACTTGAGCTCAAGAGTTTAAGCCTACAGTGAGCCATGTTTGCATCACTGCACTCACCTTGGGCAACAGAATGAGACCCTGTCCCCAAAAATAAATATATATTCAGTACACTGTCAGTAGAGATAATCTCTACATCTTATCTCTGCTGTCCCTTCTGTATCCACAGTTTTCTTGCAGCACCTTCCAAGTATTTATTGAATCACTTTCCTCCTCTCCAAACTTTCTCTTTTGCTCTAGCTTGGGCTATTTGTTTCCAACTTTTGCGTGGACTGTGGCAGAGCCTTCAATTTGGTCTCTGTCTCCAGTTTTATCCCTAACTAATTCACCAAGACCCTCATATAAAAATCGCAAGACTCATTATGTTACTTCCTGCCTAAAACCTTCCCATGGTGCCTTACTTTGCCAAAGTCGGGGGAGACCTTTCTATGATCTGGCCCACCAAGCTCATTCTCCTCCCTCCTTTCCTTGCCCTGTATATTCCAGCAACACTAAATTACTTGTTGAACCCCATTTAGGTGTATTGTTTCTTATCGCCATTCCTTTATTCATGCTGCCTTCTCTACTTGCTTGTAACCTGCCCTTTACCAAAATAATGAGAGACATAGTGCATTAGAAAATAAAGTAAACATTTCTGTTTTCTTTCTCAGAAAAATGAACTGTCAAGTATGTTTATTTTCTTTCTTTTAAGGGATGTTACTGGCTGGTTTTACAATTAGGAATGTTCCATTCATCAATGAACATGTCCATGTTCCTAACGCATGGTCTTCAATTTTAAGAAGCATTGCCCTTAACATTATTCTAATACGAGCTGGGCTTGGACTCGATCCACAGGTAGATTTACAATTACAAATCGAGTAAGGTTATTTCAAATATTAGAGGATGGTGAGAAAGAAAAATAAGCAAAAATTTTATTTACCTGTTCCAAGTGGAGTCTGTAAACAAACCTAAGATAAAGAAAAATAGGCCGAGCATGATGGCTCATGCCTGTAATCTACAAAAATTAGCCGGGCATGGTGGCATTTACCTGGTAATCCCAGCTACTCTGGAGGCTGAGGCAAGAGAATCGCTTGAACCTGAGTGATAGAGGTTGCAGTGAGCTGAGATAGTGCCACTGCAATCCAGCCTGGGGGACAGAGTGAGACTCTGTCTCAAAAAACAGAACAAAACAAACAAACAAATGTTTTATAAGAAAAACCTGTGGTGGGGTGTGGGGAGGGGGGAGGGATAGCATTGGGAGATATACCTAATGCTAGATGACGAGTTAGTGGGTGCAGCACACCAGCATGGCACATGTATACATATGTAACTAACCTGCACAATGTGCACATGTACCCTAAAACTTAAAGTATAATTAAAAAAAAAGAAAAAATGTCACATACAGAAAAAAAAAAAAAAACTTATACAATTCTTTTTATTTTTTTAGGGAGATTAAGGATTTCAGTAATTTTTTATTATGTTTTCTCTACAGGATTATGTTCCTGATTATCTTTGCATTATTGTAAAATCTAATCTTTTAAAGCATTTCTTAAAATATTACATTCTAGGGATCATAAATCCCATCTATAAGAAGATGACTATTCATGAATATGACAGCCACTCAAATAAATGTGGCAAATGTGGTTTAATAGAAATAGCTCAAGAGCATAAATAATTATAGCCAATGAGATTATATTCTCCAGTAGAAAGTATGAACCAAGGAGAAAATTGAAAAGTTCTCTCTTTTAAAATGAATTATGCAGTTTTTAAGTTATTTTCTTTGGCATGTTAGTATTGTATTTATACTTATCACGTTAATCAAACAGTTCATATCAAAAAGTCAATGGGAAAACACTAATAGGACACTATTATTATACTATGTATTAGGAAAGTTCAGGAAGGTAGCATTAGCTATTTAATCACAGTAAAATTGGTCTTTTAATAATTAAAATACAATAATATTTTATGAAAGATGAAATTGTTTATAATCCAACCTATGATGACATATAAAATATAATAGAGTTCAAAGTCCAGTGGGACAATCTGTTGAAATGAGATTTTGTTTAGTGAAACTTCTTATGAAAAAAGACTTTATAGTCCAACATTTGTTAAAATAATTTTCTTTTTGGCCATTGTAAATGTATCAAATATGACTGTTTTGTGTTTCAGGCTTGGAGGCATTTGAAGGTGGTTTGTTTCAGATTGGCTGTAGGTCCATGCCTTATGGAGGCAAGTGCAGCTGCTGTTTTTTCCCACTTCATTATGAAATTTCCCTGGCAATGGGCAATTCTATTAGGGTAATTTATTTCTCATTTTTTCTTATGAAAATATTCAATTAAGGATGCTTGGTTAAAACTGTTAAAATATTCAGAATATTGTATAGAAAAGCTCTATTAAAATTCATTTCACAGTGTTAAAATCCTTGGAAAGCAGTTGATTAAAAGCAGAGCATGTCCCAAATTGCACGAAATTTTTTTAACAAACATTCATAGCCCCTAAATGTTTATCATCAAGAAAATTCACGTGATCAATTTATTCCTTTTCATCTGTATTATATCTGTATGTTTTAATCTATCTAATGGCCTATTCCTCATAACTATATGTAAATACAGTTGCACATTTCATATATATGTATGTGTATATATATATTTGAAAAACATTTTATATAGACATAGGTGTATAAATATAAACTCTCCCATTTTAAAGAAAGCAAGCAAACAAAAACTCTTGCCGTATATCCAATGCCCCATCCATCTTTATCTACCATCCATTTGTCTTATGTTTGAATTCCTCAAAATAAGTCTCTAACTACTGTCTCTAGATCCTAACTCCTTTTCATTTCTTAATTCAGCAAATTTTGTCTCTGCTTATCCATTCCAATGACACTCATAGCAAAGTTCATCCATTACATAGTTACTACAAAATCCAGTGAATTTTTAAATTAATGTTTATAATAAAATACTCAAATGTACTTTTATTTTAAAAATTAGAACTTTATAAATAAAGGAGGAATGACCTTAAACTATGCCTTCAAATCATAATGCCCATAACTCCACCCAAAGTGACAACTCTTAGGAGTTTTTTTCTTTTCCAATTTTTATTTTGGCTCAAGGGGTACATCAGCAGGCTTGTTATATGGATAAATTGCATGTCACAGGGGTTTGGTATGCAGATTACTTTGTCACCCAGGTTGTAAGTATAATACCCAATAGGTAGTTTTTCTATTCTCCCCCTCCTTCCACCCTCCACCCTCAAATTCACCTAGTGACGATTGTTCCCTTCTTTCTGTCCATGTGTACTCAGTGTTTAGCTCCCACTTATAAGTGAGAATATGGGATATTTGGTTTCCTGTTCCTGCATTAATTCACTTTGCATAATGGCCGCAACTCCATCCACGTTGCTCCAAAGGACATGATCTCGTTCTTTCTTATGGCTGTGTATTATTCTATGGTGTATATGTGCCACGTTTTCTTTATCCAGTTCACCATTGATGGGCATTTAGGTTGATCTCATGTCTTTTTTATTTTTTTCATTAGTTTTTAAGGAACAGGTGGTGTTTGTTTACATGGAAAATATTTTTAGTGGCAATTTCTGAGATTTTGGTGCACCCATCACCAGAGCAGTGTACACTGCACCCAAGGTGTAGTCTTTTATCCCTCACCCTCCTCCTACTCTTCCCCCTAAGTCCCCAAAGTCCATTGTATCATTCTTATGCTTTTGCATCCTCATAGCATAACTCTCACTTATAAGTCAGAACATACAATGTTTGGTTTTTTCATTCCTGAATTACTTCACTTAGAATAATGGTGTCCGACTCCTTCCAGGCTGCTGTGAATGCCATTATTTCATTCCTTTTTATAGCTGAGTAGTATTCCGTCCATGGTCTGTGTGTGTATATATATACACACATACATATATATATATATACATATATACACATATATGTGTGCATATACACATATATATATATACACCACATTTTCTCTATGCATTCTTTGATTGATGGGCATTTGAGCTAGTTCCATATCCTTCACAATTGCAAATTGTGCTGCAATAAACGTATGTGCAAGTGTTTTTTTCATATAATGACTTCTTTTCCTCTGGGTAGATACCCAGTAGTGGGATTGCTAGATCAAATGGTAGATCTACTTTTAATTATTTAAGAAATCTTCATACTCTTTTCCATAGTGGTTGTACTAGTTTACATTCCCCCCAGCAGTGTAAAAGTGTTCCCTTTTTACCACACCCATGGCAACATCTATTTTTTTTAATTTTTTGATTATGGCTATTCTTGGAGGAGTGAGATGGTATCGCATTGTGGTTTTGTTTGCATTTCCCTGATAATTAGTGATATTGAGGATTTTTTCATGTTTCTTGGCCATTTATATCTTCTTTTGGGAAGTGTCTATTCATGTCCTTAGCACACTTTTTGATAGGATAATTTGATTTTTTCTTGCTGATTTGTGTGAGTTCCTTATAGATTCTGGATATTAGTACTTTGTTGGATGCATAGTTTTGTAAAGATTTTCTCCCACCCTATAGGTTGTCTTTTTACTCTGCTGATTATGTCTTTTGCTGTGTAGAAGCTTCTTAGTTTAATTAAGTCCCATCTATTTATCTTTGTTTTTGTTGCCTTTGCTTTTGGGTTCTTGGTCATGAAGTCTTTGCCTAAGCAAATGTCTAGAAGGGTATTTCCAATGTTACCTTCTAGAATTTTTATAGTTTTAGGTGTTAGATTTAAGTCTTTGATCCATCTTGAGTTGATTTTTGTATAAGGTGAGAGATGAGGATGCAGTTTCATTCTTCTACATATGGCTTGCCAATTATCCCAGCACCATTTGTTGAATACGGTGTCCTTTCCCAACTTTATGTTTTTGTTTCCTTTGTTAAAGATCAGTTGGCTTAAGTATTTGGCTTTATTTCTCGGTTCTCTATTCAGTTCCATTAGTCTGTGTGCCTATTTTTATACCAGTATTATGCTGCTTTGGTGACTATAGCCTTATAGTATAGCTTGAAGTCAAGAAATGTGATGCATCCACATTTGTTGTTTTTGCTTAGTCTTGCTTTCGTTATGCGGGCTATTTTTGGGTTCCACATGAATTTTAGGATTGCTTTTTCTAGTTCAGGGAAGAATGATGACGTAGATTGCTTTTGGCAGTATGGTCATTTTCACAATATTGATTCTACCTATCCATGAGCATGTGATGTGTTTCTATTTGTTTGGTGTCATCTATGATTTCTTTCTGCAGTGTTTTGTAGTTTTCACTGTAGAGCTCTTTCACCTCCTTGGTTAGGTATATTCCTAAGTTAGTTTGCTTGGGGTTTTTTCTTTGGTTTTGTTTGTTTGTTTGTTTTGGTTTTTTTGTAGCTGTTGTAAAAGGGATTGAGATCTTGATTTAATTCTCAGCTCAGTCACCGTCGGTGTATACCAGTGCTGCTGATTTGTGTACATTGATGTTGTATCCTGAAACATTACTGAATTCATTTATCAGATCTAGGAGCTTTTTGGATGAGTCTTTAGGGTTTTCTCATTATATGATCATATCATCAGGAACAGCAACAGTTTGACTTCCTCTTTACTGATTTAGATGCCCTTTATTTCTTTCTCTTTTCTTATTGCTCTGGCTAGGACTTCCAGTACTATGTTGAATAGAAGTGGTGAAAGTGGGCAACCTTGTTTTGTTCCAGTTCTCGGGGGAATGCTTTCAACTTTTCCCCATTCAGTATAATGTTGGCTGTGGGTTTTTCTTTCTTTCTCTTTCTGTATTTTTTTTTTGAGATGGAGTCTTGCTGTGTTGCCCAGGCTAGAGTGCAATGGCCCAATCTCAGCTCACTGCAACCTCTGTCTCCCAGGTTCAAGCAATTCTCATGCCTCAGCCTTCCAAAGACCTGGGAGTAGCTCCCCAAGCTCGCCAGCATCTATTACTTTTTGACTTTTTAATAATAGCCATTCTGCCTCCTGTGAGGTTGTATCTCATTGCACTTTTGTTTTGCATTTCTCTAATGATTAGTGATGTTGAATATTTTTCCGTATACTTGTTGACTACATGTTTGTCTTCTTTTGAGAATTGTCTTGTCCTGTCCTTTGCCCATTTAATGGGGTTGTTAGATTTTTGCTTGTTGATTTTTCTAAGTTCTTTTTGGATTCTGGATATTAGACTTTTGTCGAATGCATGGTTTGCAAATATTTCCTCCCATTCCATAGGTTGTTTGTTGATGATTTCTTTTGCTGTGCAGAAGCCCTTTAGTTTAATTAGGTCCCATTTGTCAATTTTTGTTTTGTTGCAATTGCTTTTGGCATCTTTGTCATAAAGTGTTTTCCAGAATTGAAATTTCCTAGGATATGTCCAGAATGGCCTGTATCCAGAATGGTATTTCTTAGGCTATCTTCCAGGGTTTTTATAGTTTTGGGTTTTACATTTAAGTCTTTAATCTACCTTGAGTTGATTTTTGTAAACGGTGAAACATAGGGAGTCCAGTTTCAATTTTCTGCATACGGCTAGCCAGTTATCCCAGCACAATTTCCAAGTAGGGATTCCCTTCCCCATTGCTTGTTTTTGTCAAGTTTGTTGAAGAGTAGATGGCTATAGGTGTGCGGCTTTATTTCTGCATTCTGTAACCTGTTCCACTGGTCTATGTCTGTTTTTGAGTTCCTTATAGATTCTGGATATTAGTACTTTGCTGGATGCATAGTTTGTAAAGATTTTCTCCCACTCTATAGGTTGTCTTTTTACTCTGCTGATTATTTCTTTTCCTGAGCATAAACGTGCTGTTTTGCTTACTGCAGCATTGTAGTACAGTTCGAAGTCAGGTAGTGTGACGCTTTCGACTTTGTTCTTTTTGCTTAGGATTGCTTTGGCTATTTGGGCTTTTTTTTTTCTTTTTTTTGGCTCCAAATGAATTTTAGAATGCTTTTTTTTAATCCTGTGAAAAATGTCATTGGTGGTATGATAGGAATAGCATTGACTCTGTAAATAGCCTTAGACAGTATGGCCATTTTAACAATATTGCTTCTTCCTATCTGTGATCATGGAATGTTTTCCTTTTGTTTCTGTTGTCTCTGATTCTTTGAGCACTCGCTTGTAATTTTCATTTTAGAGATTTTTCACCTCCCTGCTTAGCTGTATTCCAAGGTATTTTGTAGTTTTTTTGTGGCTACTGTGAATGGGATTGCATTCTTGATTTGGCTGTCAGCTTGGATGTTGTTGGTGTATAGAAATGCTACAGATTTTTGTACATTGATTTTTGTATCCTGAAACTTTGCTGAAGTCTTTTGTCAGATCTGAGAGCTCTCGATAGGCTACTATGGGGTTTTCTTGGTATAAAAGTGTTTCACCTATGAAGAGGCATAGTTTGACTTCCATTCTTCCTATTTAGGTGTCTGTGTTTCTTTCTCTTGCCTAATTGCACTGGCTAGGACATCCAGCACTATGATGAATAGGAGTAGTGGGAGTGGGCATCCTTGTCTTGTTCCAGTTCTCAAAGGGAATATTCCAGCTTTTTCCCATTCAGTATGAAGTTGGCTGTGGGTTTGTCATAAATGTCATAAATGTCATAAATGTCATAAATATTTTGAGGTATGCTCCTTCAGTAACTCATTTGTTGAGGGTTTATATCATGAACGGATGTTTTTACTTTTAGTTCTATTTTATGATGAATCACATTTATTGGTTTGTATATCTTGAACCAAACTTGCATCCCAGGGATAAAGCTTACTTGATCATAGTGGACTAGCTTTTTGATATGCTGCTGGATTCAGTCTGCTTGTATTTTATTGAGGATTTTTGCATCTATGATCATCAGTGATAACTGTCCTGAAGTTTTCTTTTTTGTTGTGTCTCTGCCAGGTTTTCATATCTGAATGATGCTGACCTCATAAAATGAGTTAGGGAGGGATCCTTCCTCCTCATTTTTTCGGAATAATTTCAGTAGCATTGGTACCAGCTCTTCTTTACACTTCCGGTAGAATTTGTCTGTGAATCTGTTGGGTCCTGGGCTTGCTTTTTTTTTTTTTTTTGGCTCAAAGACTTTTTATTACACATTCAGTTTCAGAACTCATTTTTGGTTTGTTCAGGATTTCAATTTCTTCCTAGTTCAATCTTGGGAGGTTGTATGTTTCCAGAAATTTACCCATTTCTTGTAGGTGTTCTACTTTGTTTGCATAAATATGTTCATCATAGTCTCTGAGAGTTTTTTGTATTTTTGTGTGGTTGGCGGTAATGTCCACTTTACCATTTCTGATTGTGTTTTTTGTATCTTCTCTTTTTTTTTTTTCTTATTGGTCTAGCTAGTGACCTATCAAATTTATTTATTCTTTCGAAGAAACAGCTTTTAGTTTCATTTATCTTTTGTATGGCTTTTCATGACTCAATTTCATTCCATTCTGCCCTGATTTTGGTTATTTATTTTCTTCTGCTAGCTTTGGGTTGGTTTATTCTTGTTTTTCTATTTCCTTTAGGTATGATATTAGGTTGTTAATTTAAGATCTTTCTAACTTTTCAATATGGGCCTTTAGCACGATAAATTTTTCCCTCAACACTGCTTTGCCTGTGTCTTAGAGAGCCTAGAATGTTGTATCTTTGTTTTAATTAGTTTCAAAGAATTTATTGGTTTCTGCCTTAATTTCATTGTTTACCCAAAAGTCATTCAGGCACAGGTTGTTTAATTTCCATGTAATTGTATGGTTTTGAGAGTTCTTCTTAGTGTTGACTTCTATTTTTGTTACACTGAGCAGTCCAAGAGTGTGGTTGGCATGATTTCTGGGGTTTCTTTTAATTTATTGAAAATAATTTTAGACTGATAGTGTGATCAATTTTACAATATATGCCATGTACAGATGAGAGGAAGATATATTCTGTTGTTGTTGGGTGGAGTGTTCTGTAGATGGCTGTTAGGTCCATTTAGCCAAGTGTTGACTTCAAGTCCTGAATATCTTTGTTCATTTTCTGTCTCTATGATCTGTCTAGTACCGTCAGTGAGATGTTGAATTCTCCCACTATTATTCTGTGGTTATCTAAGTCTCTCTATAGGTCTCTATGAACTTGTTTTATGAATGTGAATGCTCCAGTTTTGAGCACATTTATCTATCAGACAGTAAGTCTTCTTGTTGAATTGAACCCTTTATCATTACGTAGTGCCCTTCTTTGTGTTTTTGATTGTTGTTGGTTTAAAGTCTATTTTGTCTGAATTAGAATAACAATGCTTACCCTTTTTTGTTTTGCATTTGCTTGGTAGATTTTTTTCCATCCCTTTACTTCAAGCCAATGAGTATTGTTGCATATGAGCTGGATCTCTTGACAACAGATACAGTTGGGCTTTGCTTCTTTATCCAACTTGCCATTCTGTGAGTTTTAAGCAGGTCATTTATACTGTTTACATTCACAGTTAATATTGGTATTTATAGCTTTGGTCCTGCCATTATGTTGTTAGCTGGTTATTATGCAGACTTGATTGTGTAGTTACTTTACACGTCAATGGTCTATGTACTTAAATGTATTTTTTGGTGGCCATTAACAGTCTTTCACTTCCGTGCTTAGCACTCGCTTAAGTACCTCTTGTAAGGCATGTCTGGTGGTAACAGATTCCGTTAGCATTTGTTTGTCTGAAAAGGACCTTACTTCTCCTTCACATATGAAGTTTAGTTTGGCTGGATATTAAGTTCTTGGTTGATTTTTTTTTTTTTTTTTTTTTTTTGCGACAGAGTCTTGCTCTCTCCCCAGGCTGGAGTGCAGTGGTGCTATCTTGGCTCACTGCAACCTCCACCTCCTGGGTTAAGTGATTCTCTTGCCTCAGCCTCCCGAGTAGCTGGGACTACAGACACGCACCACCATGCCCAGCTAATTTTTGTATTTTTATTACAGATGAGGTTTCACCATGTTGGCCAGGATGGTCTTGATCTCTTGACCTTGTGTTCCGTCCCCCTCAGCCTCCCAAAGTGCTGGGATTACAGGCATGAGCCACCACACCTGGCCAAGTATTTTTTTTTTAAGAATGCTGAAGGCCGGGCATGGTGGCTCACACCTGTAATCCCAGAACTTTGAGAGGCCAAGGTGGGCAGATCACAAGGTCAAGAATTTGAGATCACCCTGGCCAATATGGTGAAATCCTGTCTCTACTAAAATTATAAAAAATTGTCGGGTGTTGTGGTGCGCACCTGTAGTCCCAGCTACTTGGGAGGCTGAGGGAGAAGAATTGCTTGAACCCGGGAATTGGAAGTTGCAGTGAGCCGAGATAGCACCAGTGCACTCCAGCCTGGGCAACAGAGTGAGACTCTGTCTCGAAAAAAAAAAAAGAGTGTTGAATATAGGCCCCCAATTTCTTTTGGATTGTAGAGTATCTTATAGTTCCACTGTTAGCTTGATGGGATTCCCTTTGTATGTGACCTGACCCTTCACTTTAGCTGTCTTTCATATTTTTTTATTTCATGTTGACCTTGGAGAATCTGATGACTCTCTGTCTTGAGGATGGTCATCTTGTATAGTATCTCACAGGATTCTCTGCATTTCCTGGATTCAAATGGTGACTTCTCTAGCAAGATTTGGGAAATTTTTTGGGCAGTATCCTCAAATACGTTTTCCAACTTGCTTGTTCTTTCTCCCTTTCTTTGAGTGATGTCTTGAGTCATATGTTTGGTCTCTTTACATAATCTCAGATTTCTCAGAGGTTTTGTTCATTCTTTTTTGTTCTTTATTTTCATCTGACTGAGTTGATTCAAAGAAGTGGTCTTTGAGATCTGAGATTCTTTCCTCAGCTTGGTCCGTTCTGCTGTTAGTACTTGTTATTGTATTATGAAATTCTTGAGGTGCATTTTTCAGCTCTATCAGTTTAGTTTGGTTCTTTCTTAAAATGCCTATTTCATCTTTCAGCTCTTATGTCATCTTATTGGATTCCTTACATTATTTGGATTGGATTTTGACTTTCTTCTGAATCTCAATGATCTTTGTTTCTATCCAGATTCTGTCATTTAATCCTGGTTAACAACCATTGTTGGAGAGTTAGTATGATTGCTTGAAGACAGGAAGACATTCTGGCTTTTTACATTGCCAGAGTTCTTGCACTGGTTCTTTCACATCTGTGTGGGCTAAAGTTCCTTTAATGTTTTGAATCACTGTCCTTTGGATGGAGTTTTTTCCTTTTTTATATTCTTTAATGCCCTTGAGGGTTTGACTGTGGCACAAGGTAGTTTCAGTCAAATGGATTCATTTCTGGAAGATTTCAGGGGACAAAGGCTCAGCTCAGCACTCCTGAACTGCATGCTCTAACTTTGCAAGGCTGGTACCATACCCACAGTTTTGTTGTCTGGCCCTTCAGTGTTAAGCACTGAGGTGTTCCCAGTCCACTGGCAACAACACTCTGATGGGGTGTGTCAGCCAAAGTGCTTCATTGTAGTGATTGTAGCAAGGTCCCCACTCACACATATGTGCCAGCAGCAGCAGCACAGAGCAGGTATGCTTGTGTTGGCAGGGGTGCAGTGCCGGCAGGAGTGGGATGGGGTGTTCTGCATACTTACACGTGCCAGCCGGGGCAATGGTGCTGTGGGGAGCACTCATGTGCTGCTGGAGACAGAGTGGCAGCATCTTCATGAGTTTTATGTTATCATTCTAGATCTTTAAAAATAATGTTCTGGACTTCTAACAAATGTATTTGTGAACCCAGAGAAAAAAAGAGTATTATTTTGTGCACTTTTACTTAATCATACCCAAGAAAATTTTACTTTACAATTTGTTCTTTTCATTCAACAATAGTCTTGAAGTTTATCCATCTCAAGATAGATACATATGTAGTTTATTCCTTTTAATTGTATAAGATTACATTGTATGTCAACAGCAGATTTTATTTACAATGTTATAACAAAAATAGCATTTTATTTGTCTCATTTTACATAAATATAAGTTTGTCTAGAATAGTTACCTGGGTTACATGCATTTTTAGTTTGATGTATACTGCCAAAATCCTTTCAGTATGGCCACTTTAATTTGCCCCAATACCAATAGCTTATGAGCCTACCTGATGTTCTTGAAAATCCTTGCAAATCTTTGATATTATTAAATTTTATAATGTTTTCCAGTCTGATAATTGAAAAAATGGCATATTTTTGTTATTTTAATTTGCATTTCTGTGATTATTCACAAGCTTGAATATCTTTTATATATGTGTTGTCCTTCAGCTTTTCCTTATCTGTAACTAGCCTGTTCATATCCTTTGTCCATTTTTTTGTTGAGTTGATCTTCTTTATTAATTATATCTGTTATATGCATTTGTAAATTATATGTATTGCAAATATCAGTAGATATTTAATTTTGTTTGTGATGATTTTTTTTCACTCTAAGAAGTGTATTTTGTTATTTTCAACAGACAGAATTGCCAATACACAGCACTGTTCACTTGACTTTGAAAATGAAAAAGAGTAAAAGGGGAAGAAAGAGCAGAATTGCTTTTGAAGTAGTACTTTATTATAGTACTTTTGAAGTACTACTTTAATATAATTGAATGTATCAAAATCTCTTTTTATGTCTAATGCCTTTGTATGTATCATTCAAAAGGTCCTTTTTACCTCATGATCACAAATATATTATTCTACATCTTTTTTTGTTGTTGTTCAGAGTCTTGCTGTCACCCAGGCTGTAGTGCAGTGGCATGACCTCAGCTTACTGCAACCTCCACCTCCCAGGTTCAAGTCATTCTCCTGCCTCAACCTCCCAAGTAGCTGGGACTACAAGCATGCACCACTGCACCCAGCTATTGGTTTCACCATGTTGGCCAGGCTGGTCTCAGATTCCTGATCTGTCCACCTCAGCCTCCCAAAGTGCTGGGATTACAGGTGTGAGCCATCATGCCTAGCCCACTACATTTTCTTATTACTACTTTTCCTTTTGAGCTTTTAACATTTATTATGTTTAAGGATCGATCTATATTCCTTTCCACATAAATAGTTATCTCAGCACCGTTTGTGAAAGATTTCTTTCTTTCTCCCACCGATTTAAAATACAAATTGTATGATGTAACAAATCCCATAGATTTGTTTCCACACTTTGTATTCTCTTTTCTTCCAATTTATTTTGTCTATTTATATGTCACTATTATTCAGTTTTAACTATTTTACCTTTACAAAAACAGTATCTTGTTTTCTTAAGTTTACTTGATCTTTCATTCTAAGATCTTATTCTTCCAAATGAATTTTATAATCAGCTTGTCAAGCTCAGTAAAAATCCCTGCAAAGATTTTGATTGGTGTATCTCTGATTAATTCATTTGGGGGAGAGATTACATCTTTATATTATTGAGGCTTTGGCCAGGCGTGGTGGCTCACACCTATAATCCCAGCAGTTTGGGAGGCCAAGGCAGGCATATCACTTGAGGTCAGGAGTTCAAGACCAGCCTGGCCAAAATGGTGAAACACTGTATCTACTAAAAACACAAAAACTAGCCAGGCGTGGTGTTGGGTGATGGTAAAATTGGGGCTTTTTAGTTCACACTTGTGAAATGTCTCTCTAAGTATTCAGGTATTATCTTAATTACTATATTATTAGATTCACAATTTTTATAAAAGTATAGACTGTCTTCACAGTTTTGTTCTTAGACACTTTGTGTTTGTAATTGATGTTGTGGATTAAATTCTCTTTGATCACTTATTCCTGGGGAAGCCAGCTGCCATGTCCTGAGGCAGCCCTGTGGAGAAAACCCCGTTGGAAAAAACTGAAGCCTGCAATGGCTACATGAGTAAACTTGGAAGCAGATCTTCTCCACCCCACCCTACCTCATGGGAAATCTTAAGTCAAGGCATACAGCTAAGCCATGCCCAGATTCCTGACCCACAGAAGTCATAAGACAATAAATATTTGTTGTTTTAAGCTGCTATGTTTGGGGATGACTTGTTAAGCAAAATGAGAAAAATAATACAACAAGTGATTACAATGTGCAGCAGAGCTCAGGAACCACTGAACTAGACCAGTATGTGGTCTTAGAGAAGTCTAGTCTCTTCTTGAGCCCACAGGGAAATCTGTAGCATAAACTGCACCATAGAGTTGTACAGCCAGAAGCAAATCTCACATCAGTCCGTCATTGGCAGATGCTGTCTGGAGGGAAAATAGAGGGGTGCACAACCTCCCTAGTATTCCCAAGTAGGTGCTTGTCAGCAGGACAAGGGTTCTAGAAACCTGCAGGTAATAGCAGCCAACAAGAAGCACTGGGAGATGTGTTCATTGACCTGGTAAATGGATTCTGGCAGGAGCACCAAAGGCATTTCTACACAGGATATACTTCACGCTTTATAAAGTAAATGTAGAAGAGATGGGGTGAAATTCTGGATAAGATATGCCAATAGAAGGTATTCTGAGCAGGAGCCTCCCCATTCCTCATGGGTGTCATCAACCACTCCAGAAATGTTCTCATTTGCCTTTGTAACTTAGGTGGCCACACTTGTTTTTTTGGGCAGACAACTCTGTTCCTTCCTTCCTTACTTACTTATTTACTCGAGAGGTAGGAAATGTGTGGAAGGTAGATTTGTCTGACCATTCTTACAGTGGTACTCCAAATAATCAACTATTTGGTTTCCCCAGAGGTCTCTCCTGCTCCCAGCACCTGTCATTTCAGGGCTTGGACCACTTTTAGAAGCACATGTATCTTTTGAGGCAATCTTATTTACACACATTTTGGTTTATGGTTTCCTTTTTTCAATCCTAAATTGTCTGTCTCTTATCTTTCTGGCATATGCTTAGTTTCTTGTCCATTGATGATTCACCTTTTGCTTTCTTGTTAGGTTATGAATTTTTCTATTACCTTTACATCTTCATTTCAAAGGATTTAGGAATAGAGGGAAAGGCTGCAACCTGTGCTCAGGCCAACATTTTAAACCACGTCTGTATAAAATTTTAGCTAACACTAAACCATGCATGAAAAGTTTTATCACCATTAAATTGCATTCACTCAAATTTGAAATTCTTCTAAACAATGTTTGTTATAAATTTATTATAAACTACTTGTACTTATAAACACTACTTGATTAAAAAGATGCTTTTAAATTAATTTTCATTCTCTCAGTTTTGTTTTAGGTGCTGTCTCTCCTGTTGTTGTTGTCCTTTACATGATGGTGTTGCAAGAAAATGGATATGGTGTTGAGGAAGACATTCCAACCTACTAATGGCTGCTAGCAGTATGGATGACATTCTGGCTATCACTGGATTCAATACATGCTTGAGCATAGTCTTCTTCTCGGGTAAACAAGAAAATATAACAACCACCAGATCATTCATGACCTTTTTTGTTAGTTCTTTAAACAGGGTTTCTGGCTTTGCTTCTTCATTTATTAACCAAGACTGTTCAATTTAACATCTTTTTAATCTCCATAGAAAGCTCATTCCAGACCAAGGAAGATATTTCAGTGGCTTAAGATACCACTACTTAACACACATGATCTCACTTTAATAATCATGTGACAATTAATTTGATACACCATATTATTACTATTTATATGCTTATGTTGCTTTTGAATTTTATCAGTTCTCATTAGAAAAAATTAAGCAGCAGTATTATTTGTACTACTAATATTTTAATAGGCATTTTTGAAATGTGCCTTTTTGGCCATCCTAATAAACAACTGGTTGCTCTATTATAAGACAATATAAACATACAGAGCTGGGACAGCCATATGCCTTTTTGGTAGTGTTAGGACAAGATCCTGCACCAGTTCTGATTCCCAAGGTGATATCTGGTCTTGAATATCACTACAGAAATTGTGAAACTAAACATTTCCACATTTAGTAATGCTTTAATTATCTGCAATGTTTGAGTCTTCTGTATTATTGAAGCACTAAACTATTTTTAAGTTGAAAAGTAATATATATAGTTTTATAGTTTCTCTTAAAATAAGAAAATATAAATAAATAAGAAAAAGAGGAAAAGTTAAAAAAATCTGCAATAGTCACATCCAGAAGAAAAGAATCATTTCCTTCTGAACCTTTTGATATAAATCCACCCATATTCCCTTCCCTTCCCTTTTTCCCTTCTTCCCTTCCCTTCCCTTCCCCTCCCCTCCCCCTTCCCTTCCGTTACCCCTCTCTCTCTGTCAAATATTCTTATAAAAATTAGTGAATATTGACCAATATGTTCTTTTATTTTTTTTTTTGAGGCGGAGTCTTGCTCTGTCACCAAGGTTGGAGTGCAGTGGCACAATCTCGGCTCACTGCATGCTCTGCCTCCTGGGTTCATGTCATTCTCCTGCCTCAACCTCCCAAGTAGTTGGGACTACAGGCGCCCGCCACCGCACCTGGCTAATTTTTTTTTGTATTTTTAGTAGAGCCAGGGTTTCACCGTGTTAGCCAGGATGGTCTTGATCTCCTGACATCGTGATCCTCCTGCCTTGGCCTCCCAAAGTGCTGGGATTACAGGCATGAGCCATCGCACCCGGCCTAATATGTTCTTATAACCTGAATTGTTTTACACTTAACTGTATATCACAAACATGTTTCTTTTCAGTAAATGTATTTGTATATCATTTTTAATAGTTGTTTAGCTTAATGAAAGAGTATTCAATGTGCTGCATCATGATTACTTATCCTGTTCAAAATTAAAGTTAACTCCAATATTTACTATTAAAATAATACTTAGTTGTGCTGCTATAAAAATATTTTTTTAAATTAAAAAATTGGCCGGGCATGGTGGCTCACACATATAATCCCAGCACTTTGGGAGGCCAAGAAGGGTGGATCACATGAGGTCAGGAGTTCAAGACCAGCCTGGCCAACGAACATGGTGAAACCCCGTCTCCACTAAAAATACAAAACTTAGCCAGGCACGGTTGTGGGCATCTGTAATCCCAGCTACTCAGGAGGCTGAAGCAGAAGAATCACTTGAACCCAGGAGGCGGAGGCTGTAGTGAGCTATCCAGCCTGGGCAACAGAGCGAGACTCTGTCTCAAAAAAATTTTTTTAATTAAAAAAATAATACTTAGAAGAACATATAGGGAAATATTTGTACCTAATCTTCATATTTTCTTAAGCTTAAAAGTGTAATTGTTGATCTAAAAGGTATATACATTTATGAGTGTTCTGAAACATATTGCCACAATATCAAATCCTACCAGGGTACATAAACTTGTCATTTCCTCTCACCTCTCTTCAAAACTTGGTATTACTAGCCTTTTTCATCTTTGCTAATTTGATAGGTGAAGGAGGGATCTCTATAAATGAAGTACTTTGAATACTAGTGTTGTTAAATATCCATGTTTATTCGTCATTGGCATTTTGTAAATTGCTTTTCTTGAAAGTTTTTTGCCTATTTCTTTTGGTGGGTTCACCTTTTGTTCTTTTTGATTTGTCAAGATTCTGCATTAAATTGAGAATGAAAACCTTTGTTTTATATACTTTAGTTTTTTCAATTTGTGATTTGGCTTTTAATTTTCTCACTCTTTTTACCATTCAGAAGTTAAAGTTTTTTTATTGTCAATTGTGAAAATGTTTTCCTTCATGATTGGTATCTGTCTTTCTTTCAAAAAATATTGTTATCAGTCATGTTTCAAAAAAATATTTCCAGGCTGGGCCCAATGGCTCATGCCTATAATCCCAACACTTTGGGAGGCCAAAGCGGGGGGATCACTTGAGGACATGAGTTCAAGACCAGCCTGGCCAAAATAGCAAAGCTCCATCTCTACTAAAAATACAAAACGTTAGCTGGGTGTGGTGGCACAGGCCTGTAATCCCAGCTACTCAGGGGGCTGAGGCACAAGAATCGCTTGAAACCAAGAGGCAGAGGTTGCAGTGAGCCAAGATCACACCACTGCACTCCAGCCTGGGTGACAGAGGGAGACTGTCTGAAAAAAAGAAAAAAAAATTCCTCTTCCTTTTGCCGGCTACTATGCCAAACACTGAGAATAAACAGTAGGCAACAACATTAGCTTTTATTGAATACTTGCTTGGCTCTTGTTCTAAGTTCCATATATGTCACCACTCATTTACAGGTAAGGAAACTGAGAAAAATGTTAAGTAATTTTCTCAAGGACAGAGATCCAATAAGTAGGGGAGCCAAGATGCAAATCTGACAGTCTTTCACTCCACACCCACACATTTAACTCTTCTCTTCTCCACTGCCTCCCAACACAACAGAGAGACAAGATCAAATGGTGCATGTTCTCAAGGAGCTTGTATATTAAAGAAAAGTTACAAATTGGATGAATATTACATTGTGAAGGTTAATATTCAGTAAGTGTCAACTTGATTAGATTGAAGGATCCAAAGTATTGTTCCCGGTTGTGTCTGTGAGGGTGTTGCCAAAGGAGATTAACATTTATTTAGTGGACTGGGAAAGGCAGATCCACCCTCAGTGTGGGTGGGCACCATACAATCAGCTGCCAGCATGGCTAGAATAAAGCAGGCAGAAGAAGGTTAGAAGAAGCTGACTTGCTGAGCCTTCTGCCCTCATCTTTCTCCCATGCTGGATGCTTCCTGCACTCAAATATCAGACTCCAGGTTCTTTGGCTTTTGGACTCTTGGACTTACTCCAGTTGTTTTCCAGGGGCTCTCAGGCCTTCATCCAGAGACTCAAAGCTGGCCTGTAGGTTTCCCTACTTTTGAGGTGTTGGGACTCGGACTGAGCCAATACTAGATTCCTTGTTCCTCAACTTGCAGACAGCCTGTTGTAGGACTTCGATTGTGATGGTGTGATTCAATTCTCCCTAATAAACTCCCTTTCATATATATATATATATCCTATTAGTTCTATCCCTCTAGAGAACCATGACTAATACAGATTTTGATACTGAGGTAATGGAGTATTGCTATAAGATACCTGAGAATGTGGAAGTGACTTTGGAACTGTGTAATGTGCAGAGTTTGGAACAGTTGGCAGGACTCAGAAGTAGACCAGAAGATGTGGGAAAGTTTGTAACTGCCTAGAGACTTGTTGAATGGTTTTGACCAAACTGCTGATAGTGACGTGGACAGTGAAGTCCAGGCTGAGGAGGTCCGAGATGGAGATGAACAACTTGTTGGGAACTGAAGTAAAGGTCACTCTTGTTATGCTTTAGCAAAGAGACTGGTGGCATTTTGCCCCTGCCCTACAGATTTATGGAACTTTGAAATTGAGAGAGATGACTGAGGACATCTGGTAGAAGAAACGTTTGTTGTTGTTGTTGTTGTTGTTATACCTTAAGTTCTAGGGTACATGTGCACAACGTGCAGGTTTGATACATAGGTATACATGTGCCATGTTGGTTTGCTGCACCCATCAACTCATCATTTACATTAGGTATTTCTCCTAATGCTCTCCCTCCCCCAGCCCTCCACCCCTCAACAAGCCCCAGTGTGTGATGTTCTCAGCCCTGTGTCCAAGTGATCTCATTGTTCAATTCCCATCTATGAGTGAGAACATGCGGTGTTTGGTTTTCTGTCCTTGTGATAGTTTTGCTGAGAATGATGGTTTCCAGCTTCTTCTATCTCCCTGCAAAGGACATGAACTCATCCTTTTTTATGGCTGCATAGTATTCCATGGTGTATATGTGTCACATGTCTTAATCCAGTCCATCATTAATGGACATTTGGGTTGATTCCAAGTCTTTGCTATTGTTAATAGTGCCGCAATAAACATACATGTGCATGTGTCTTTATAGTAGCATGATTTATAATCCTTTGGGTATATACCCAGTAATAGGATTGCTGGGTCAAATGGTAATTCTAGTTCTAGATCCTCGAGGAATCACCACAATGTCTTTCACAATGGTTGAACTAGTTTACACTCCCACCAACAGTGTAAAAGCGTTCCTATTTCTCCATATCCTCTCCAGCACCTGTTGTTTCCTGACTTTTTAATGAATACCATTCTAACTGGGGTGAGATGGTATCTCATTGTGGTTTTGATTTGCATTTCTCTGATGACCAGTGATGGTGAGCTTTTTTTCTTGTGTCTGTTAGCTGCATAGATGTCTTCTTTGGAGAAGTGTCTATTCATATCTTTGCCCACTTTTTGATGGGGTTGTTTTTTTCTTGTAAATTTGTTTGAATTCTTTCTTTGTCAAATGGGTAGATTGCAATTTATCTCCCATTCTGTATGTTGCCTGGTTCACTCTGATGGCAGTTTCTTTTGCCATGCAGAAGCTCTTTAGTTTAATTAGATCCCATTTGTCAATTTTGGCTTTTGTTGCCATTGCTTTTGGTGTTTTAGTCATGAAGTCCTTGCTCATGCCTATGGCCTGAATGGTATTGCCTATGTTTTCTTCTAGGGTTTTTATGGTTTTAGGTCTAACATTTAAGTCTTTAATCCATCTTGAATTAATTTTTGTATAAGATGTAAGGAAGGGATCCAGTTTCAGCTTTCTACATATAGCTAGCCAGTTTTCCCAGCGTCATTTATTAAATAGGTAATCCTTTCCCCATTTCTTGTTTTTGTCAGGTTTGTCAAAGATCAGATGGCTGTAGATGTGTGGTCTTATTTCCGAGGGCTCTATTCTGTTCCATTGGTCTGTATCTCTGTTTTGGCACTAGTACCATGCTGTTTTGGTTACTGTAGCCTTGTAGTGTAGTTTGAAGTCAGGTAGTGTGATGCCTCCAGCTTTGTTCTTTTTGCTTAGGATTGTCTTGGCAATGCAGGCTCTTTTTTGGTTCCATATGAACTTTAAAGTAGTTTTTTTCCAATTCTGTGAAGAAAGTTATTAGTAGCTTGATGGGGATGGTATTGAATCTATAAATTACTTTGTGCAGTATGGCCATTTTCAGGATATTGATTCTTCCTATCCATGAGCGTGGAATATTCTTCCATTTGTTTGTGTCCTCTTTTAATTCGTTGAGCAGTGGTTTGTAGTTCTCCTTGAAGAGGTCCTTCACAACCCTTGTAAGTTGGATTCCTAGGTATTTTATTCTCTTTGTAGCAATTGTGAATGGGAGTTCACTCATGATTTGGCTCTCTGTTTGTCTATTAATGGTGTATAGGAATGCTTGTGATTTTTGTACATTAATTTTGTATCCTGAGAGTTTGCTGAATTTGCTTATCAGCTTAAGGAGATTTTGGGCTGAGACGGTGGGGTTTTCTAAATATACAATCACGTCATCTGCAAACAGGGACAATTTGACTTCATCTTTTCCTAACTGAATACCATTTATTTCTTTCTCCTGCCTGATTCCACTGGTCAGAACTTCCAACACCATGTTGAATAAGAGTGGTGAGAGAGGGCATCCTTGTCTTGTGCCGGTTTTCAAAAGGAATGCTTCCAGTTTTTGCCCATTCAGTATGATATTGGCTGTGGGTTTGTCATAAATAGCTCTTAATATTTTGAGATACGTCCCATCAATATCTAGTTTATTGAGAGTTGTTAGCATGAAGGAGTGTTGAATTTTGTCAAAGGCCTTTTCTGCATCTATTGAGATAATCATGTGGTTTTTGTCTTTGGTTCTGTTTATGTAATGGATTACGTTTATTGATTTGCCTATGTTGAACCAGCCTTGCATCCCAGGGATGAAGCCCACTTGATCGTGGTGGATAAGCTTTTTGATGTGCTGCTGGATTTGGTTTGCCAGTATTTTATTGAGGATTTTTGCATCGATGTTCATCAAGGATATTGGTCTAAAATTCTCTTTTTTTGTTGTGTCAATGCCAGGGTTTGGTACCAGGATGATGTTGGCCTCATAAAATGACTTAGGGAGGATTCTCTATTGTTCTTTTTTTTTGGATGAAAAAAGAGCTGTTTAATTTTTTTTGATGTTTTCAATGTTGATATTTTTTCCAAGAATTAGAGAAATATCTCTGGATGGTTATCTAAAATTTATAATTTTTCTACAGATATGGTAAGTAGGAGAGTGTCATAGTTTTTCTATTATTATACTTTAAGTTCTAGGGTACATGTGCACAATGTGCTGGTTTGTTACATATGTATACATGTGTCATGTTGGTGTGCTGCACCCATTAACTCATCATTTACATTAGATATATCTCCTAATGCTATTCCCCCTCCCCCCACTCCATGACAGGCCCCAGTGTGTGATGTACCCCACCCTGTGTCCAAGTGTTCTCATTGTTCAATTCCCACCTATGAGTGAGAACATGTGGTGTTTAGTTTTCTGTCCTTGCGATAGTTTTCTCAGAATGATGGTTTCTAGCTTCATCCGTGTCCTTACAAAGGACATGAACTCATCCTTCTTATGGCTGCATAGTATTCCATGGTGTATATGTGCCACATTTTCTTAATCCAGTCTATCATTGATGGACATTTAGGTAGGTTCCAAGTCTTTGCTATTGTGAATAGTGCCGCAATAAACATACGTGTGCATGTGTCTTTATAGCAGCATGATTCACAATCCTTTGGGTATATGCCCAGTAATGGGATGGCTGGGTGAAATGGTATTTCTAGTTCTAGATCCTTGAGGAATTGCCACACTGTCTTCTACAATGATTGAACTAGTTTACACTCCAACCAACACTGTAAAAGTGTTCCTATTTCTCCATATCCTCTCCAGCACATGTTGCTTCCTGACTTTTTAATGATCGCCATTCTAATTGGTGTGAGATGGTATCTCATTGTGGTTTTGATTTGCATTTCTCTGATGGCCAGTGGTGATGAGCATTTTTCCATGTGTCTGTTGGCTGCATAGATGTCTTCTTTTGAGAAGTGTCTGTTCATACCCTTTGCCCACTTTTTGATGGGGTAGTTTGATTTTTTCATATAAATTTGTTTAAGTTCTTTGTAGATTCTGGATATTAGCCCTTTGTCAGATGGGTAGATTGTAAAAATTTTCTCCCATTCTGTAGGTTGTCTGTTCACTCTGATGGTAGTTTCTTTTGCTATGCAGAAGCTCTTGAATTTAATTAGATCTGATTTGTCAATGTTGGCTTTTGTTGCCATTGCTATTGGTGTTTTAGTCATGAATTCCTTGCCCATGCCTATGTCCTGAATGGTATTGCCTAGGTATTCTTCTAGGGTTTTTATGGTTTTAGGTCTAACATTTAAGTATTTAATCCATCTTGAATTAAATTTTATATAAGGTGTAAGGAAGGGATCCAGTTTCAGCTTTCCACATATGGCTAGCCAGTTCTCCCAGCACCATTTATTAAATAGGGAATCCTTTCCCCATTTCTTGTTTATGTCAGGTTTGTCAAAGATCAGATGGTTGTAGATGTGTGGTATTATTTCCGAGGGCTCTATTCTGTTCCATTGGTCTGTATCTCTGTTTTGGCACTAGTACCATGCTGTTTTGGTTACTGTAGCCTTGTAGTGTAGTTTGAAGTCAGGTAGTGTGATTCCTCCTGCTTTGTTCTTTTTGCTTAGGATTGACTTGGCAATGCAGGTTCTTTTTTGGTTCCATATGAACTTTAAAGTTGTTTTTTCCAATTCTGTGAAGAAAGTCATTGGTAGCTTGATTGGGACGGCATTGAATCTATAAATTATCTTTGTCTGTATGGCCATTTTCACGATATTGATTCTTCCTATCCATGAGCATGGAATGTTCTTCCATTTGTTTGTGTCCTCTTTTATTTTGTTGAGCAGTGGTTTGTAGTTCTCCTTGAAGAGGCCCTTCACATCCCTTGTAAGTTGGATTCCAAGGTATTTTATTCTCTTTGAAGCAATTGTGAATGGGAGTTCACTCATGATTTGGCTCTCCGTTTTTGTGTTATTGGTGTATAGGAATGCTTGTGATTTTTGCACATTGATTTTGTATCCTGAGAGTTTGCTGAAGTTGCTTATCAGCTTAAGGAGATATTGGGCTGAGATGATGGGGTTTTGTGAATATACAGTCATGTCATCTTCAGACAGGAACAATTTGACTTCCTCTTTTCCTAATTGAATACCCTTTATTTCATTCTCTTGCCTGATTGACCTGGCCAGAACTTCCAAGACTATGTTGAATAGGAGTGGTGAGAGAGGGAATCGTTGTCTTGTGCCAGGTTTCAAAGGGAATGCTTCCAGTTATTGTCCATTCAATATGATATTGGCTGTGTTTTTGTCATAAATAGCTCTTATTATTTTGAGATACATCCCATCAATACCTAGTTTATTGAGAGTTCTTAGCATGAAGGGCTGTTGAATTTTGTCAAAGGTCTTTTCTGCATCTATTAAGATAATCATGTGGTTTTTGTCTTTGGTTCTGTTTATATGATGTATTACGCTTATTGATTTGCGTATGTTGAACCAGTCTTGCATCCTAGGGATGCCAAGTTGATCGTGGTGGATAAGCTTTTTGATGTGCTGCTGGATTCAGTTTGTTAGTATCTTATTGAGGATATTTGCATCAATGTTCATCCGGGATATTGGTCTAAAATTCTCTTTTTTTGTTGTTGTGTCTGTCAGGCTTTGGTATCAGGATGATGTTGGTCTCATAAAATGAATTAGGGAGGATTCTATCTTTTTCTATTGATTGGAAAAGTTTCAGAAAGAATGATACCAGCTCCTCTTTGTACCTCTGGTAGAACTCAGCTGTGAATGCATCTGGTCCTGGACTTTTTTTTGGTTGGTGGGCTATTAATTATTGCCTCAATTTCAGAGCCTGTTATTGGTCTATTCAGAGATTCAACTTCTTCCTGGTTTAGTCTTGCAAGGGTGTATGTGTCCCAGAATTTATCCATTTCTTCCAGATGTTCAAGTTTATTTGTGTATAGGCGTTTATAGTATTCTCTGATGGTAGTTTTTATTTCCCTGGGCTCAGTGGTGATATCCCCTTTATCATTTTATTGCATCTATTTGATTCCTCTCTCTTTTCTCTTTATTAGTCTTGCTAGCAGTCTATCAATTTTGTTGATCTTTTCAAAAAACAAGCTCCTGGATTCATTGCTTTTTTGAAGGGTTTTTTGTGTCTCTGTCTCCTTCAGCTCTGCTCTGATCTTATTTTTTCCTTCTGCCAGCTTTTGAATGTGTTTGCTTTTTCTTCTCTAGTACTTTTAATTGTGATGTTAGGGGGTCAATTTTAGATCTTTCCTGCTTTCTCTTCTGGGCATTTAGTGCTATCAATTTCCCCCTACACACTGCTTTAAATGTGTCCCAGAGATTCTGGTACATTGTGTCTTTGTTCTCATTGGTTTCAAAGAACATCTTTATTTCTGCCTTCATTTTGTTATTTACCCAGTAGTCATTCAGGAGCAAATTGTTCAGTTTCCATGTAGTTGTTCAGTTTTGAGTGAGCTTCTTAATCCTAAGTTCGAATTTGATCGCACTGTGGTCTGAGAGACAGTCTGTTGTGATTTCTGTTCTTTTACATTTGGTGAGGAGTGCTTTACTTCCAATTATGTGGTCAAATTTAGAATAAGTGAGATGTGGTGCTGAGAAGAATGTACACTCTGTTGATTTGGGGTGGAGAGTTCTGTGGATGTCTATTGGGTCTGTTTGTTGCAGAGCTGAGTTCAGGTCCTGGATATCTTTGTTAACCTTCTGCCTTGTTGATCTTTCTAATATTGACAGTTGGGTGTTAAAGTCTCCCATTATTATTGTGTGGGAATCTAAGTCTCTTTGTAGGTCTCTAAGGACTTGCTTTATGAATCTGGGTGCTCTTGTATTAGGTGCATATATATTTAGGATAGTTAGCTCTTCTTGTTGCATTGATCCCTTTACCATTATGTAATGGCCTTCTTTGTCTCTTTTGATCTTTGTTGGTTTAAAGTCTGTTTTATCAGAGACAAGGATTGCAACCCCTGCCTTTTTTTGTTTTCCATTTTCTTGGTAGATCTTCCTCCATCCCTTTATGTTGAACCTATGTGTGAATTTGCGCATGAGATTGGTCTCCTGAATACAGCACACTGATGGGTCTTGACTCTTTATCCAATTTGCCAGTCTGTGTCCTTTAATTGGGGCATTTAGCCCATTTATGTTTACAGTTAATATTGTTATGTGTGAATTTGATCCTGTCATTATGATATTCGCTGGTTATTTGCCCGTTAATTGATGTAGTTTCTTCCTAGCATTGATGTTCTTTACAACTTGGCATGTTTTTGCACTGGCTGGTACCGGGTGTTTCTTTCCATGTTTAGTGCTTCCTTCAGGAGCTCTTGTAAGGCAGGCCTGGTGGTGACAAAATCTCTCAGCATTTGCTTGTCAGTAAAGAATTTTATTTTCTCCTTCACTTATGACGCTTAGTTTGGCTGGATATGAAACTCTGGTTTGAAAATTATTTTCTTTAAGAATGTTGAATATTGGCCCCCACTCTCTTCTGGATTGTAGGGTTTCTGCCAAGAGATCAGCTGTTAGTCTGATGGGCTTCTCTTTGTGGCTAACCTGACCTTTCTCTCTGGCTGCCCTTAACACTTTTTCCTACACTTCAACCTTGGTGAATCTGACAATTATGTGTCTTGGAATTGCTCTTCTCAAAGAGTATCTTTGTGTTGTTCTCTGTATTTCCTGAAGTTGAATGTTGGCCTGCCTTGCTAGATTGGGGAAGTTCTCCTGGATAATATCCTACAGAGTGTTTTCCAACTTGGTTCCATTCTCCTCATCACTTTCCGGTACACCAATCAAATGTAGATTTGGTCTTTTTACATGGTCTCATATTTCTTGGAGGCTTTCTTCATTTCTTTTTACTCTTGTTTCTCAACCTTGTCTTCTCACTTTATTTCATTTATTTGATCTTCAATCACTGATACCCTTTCTTCCACTTGATTGAATCGGCTATTGAAGCTTGTGCATGCGTCACAAAGTTCTCATGCCATGGTTTTCAGCTCCATTGGGTCACTTAAGGTCTTCTCTACACTGTTTATTCTTGTAAGCCTTTCGTCTAATCTTTTTTCAAGGTTTTTAGCTTCCTTGCAATGGGTTCCAACGTCCTCCTTTAGCTCGGAGAAGTTTCTTATTACCAACCTTCTGAAGCCTACTTCTGTCAACTCGTCAAAGTCATTCTCTGTCCAGCTTTGTTCCATTGCTGACAAGGAGCTGTGATCCTTTGGAGGAGAAGAGGTGCTCTGATTTTTAGAATTTTCAGCTTTTCTGCTCTGGTTTATCCCCATCCTTTTGGTTTTATCTACCTTTGGTCTTTGATATTGTTGATCTACAGATGGGGTTTTGGGTTAGATGATCTTTTGTTAATGTTGACACTATTCCTTTCTGTTTTTTAGTTTTCCTTCTAACTGTCAGGACCCTCAGCTGCAGATCTGTTGGAGTTTGCTGGAGTTCCACTCCAGACACTGTTTGCCTGGGTACCACCAGTGGAGGCTGCAGAACAGCAAATATTGCAGAACAGCAAATATTTCTGCCTGATCCTTCCTCTGGAAGCTTCGTCCAAGAGAGGCAGCCGCCTATATGAGGTGTCTGTCAGCCCCTACTGGGAGGTGTGTCCCAGTTAGGCTACACAGGGGTCAGGGACCCACTTGAGGAGGCAGTCTGTCCATTCTCAGAACTCAAACACCATGCTGGGAAAACCACTGCTCTCTTCAGAGCTGTCAGACAGGGACGTTTCAGTCTGCAGAAGTTGCTGCCTTTTGTTCAGCTATCCCTGCCCACAGACGTGGAGTCTAGAGGCTATGGGCCTTGTTGAGCTGTAGTGGGCTCCACCGAGTTCAAGCTTCCCTGGCCACTTTGTTTACCTACTTAAGCCTCAGCAATGGTGGACCCCCCTCCCGCAGCCAGGCTGCCACCTTGCAGATGGATTTCAGACTGTTGCGCTAGCAGTGAGCAAGGCTCCATGGGTGTGGGACTTACTGAGCCAGGCACAGGAGAGAATCACCTTGTCTGCTAGTTGCTAAGACCTTGGGAAAAGTGCAGTATTTGGGCGGGAGTGCCCTGTTTTTCCAGGTAGTCTGTCACAGCTTCCCTTGGCTAGGAAAGGGAAATCCCCCAACCCCTTGTGCTTTCCCGGGGAGGCGATGCCCCACCCTGCTTCAGCTCACCCTCCGTGGGCCTGCACCCACTCTCCAACAAGTCCCAATGAGATGAACCAGGTACCTCAGTTGGAAGTGCAGAAATCACCTGTCTTCTGTGTCAATCATGCTGGGAGCTGCAGACCGGAACTGTTCCTATTTGGCTATCTTGGAACCCATCCAAGACATCTGGTAGAAGAAATTTGTAAGCAGCAAAGTGTTCAATTTATGACCTGAGTGCTCTTAAAAGTGTTCAGTTTTATGCATTCACAAAAATATGGTTTGGAATTAGAACTTATGTTTAAAAGGGAGCAGAGCATGAAAGTTTGGAAGATTTGCAGCCTGATGATGTGATAGAAAAGAAAACCCATTTTCTGGGGAGAAATTCAAGCTGACTGCAGAAATTTGCAGAAGTAACAAGGAGCCAAATGATAATTGACAAGATAATGGGGAAATTGTCTCCAGGGCATGTCAGAGTTGTTCACAACAGCCCCTCCCGTGACAGGGTTGGAGGCCTAGGAGGGAAAAAATGGTTTTGTGGGCCAGGCCCAGAACTTTGCTGCTCTGTGCAGTCTTGGGACTTGGTGCCCTGTGTCCCAGCCATGGCTAAAAGGAGCCAATGTACAGCTCAGGTTATTGCTTCAGAGTTCAATCCCCAAGCCTTGGCAGTTTCCATGTAGTTTTGGGTTGATATGCTAGTTGGCCACTTGTATTTTTTTTGGAAAAAATGTCGATTCAAGTCTATCTTAGTCCATTCCTGCTGCTATAACAAAATATCTTAGGCTGGTAATTTATAAACAACAAAAATTTATTTCTTGCATTCTGGAGTGTGAGAAGTCCAAGATTTAGGCTACAACAGACTCAGTGACTGGTGAGGTCACTATATTCACTATACATAGCACCTTCTCTGTGTCCTCACATGTTCAAAAGGGAAAAAAAACTCCCTTAAGCCTCTTTTATAAAGGCCCTAGTCCCATTTCTGAGAGCTATGACTTCATGAACTAATCATCTCCAAAATGCCCCACCTCTTAATATTATCACATTGAATATTAGGCTCCAGCATATGAATATTGGGAGAACACTTGGACCATAGCAAAGTCAACTGACCATTTCTCATTTAGGTTGTTTTGTTATTGAGTTGTTGTTCTGTATATATTTTAGATATTAACCCCTTGTCAGGTATTTGGTTTGCTGGGAGGTTTTTGATTCCTGATTCAGTTACTAGTTATAGGTTTATTAAGATTTTTTATTTTGTGACTTAGTCTTGGTAACTTGCATGTTACAAGGAATCTCTTCATTTCTCCTAGGTTATCCAACTTGTCAGTATATAATCATTCATAGTAGACTCTTAGAATCCTTTTTATTTCTGTAATATCTGTTGCAGTGTCTTCTCTTTTGTTCCTAAAAGAAGTTGAGTCTTCTTTTTTTTCTTAAATATTCTAGCTAATGATTTGTCAATTTTGTTGAACTTTGAAACAACTACTAGTTTCACTGGATTTTTTCTATTCTCTAGCCTTTTTTTTTTTTTTTTTTTTTTTGAGATGGAGTTTTGCTCTTATTGCCCAGGCTGTAGTGCAATGGCGTGATCTCCGCTAGCTGCAACCTCCGCTTCCCAGTTCAAGTGACTCTCCTGCCTCAGCCTCCAGAGTAGCTGGGATTACAGGCATGCACCACCATGCCTGGCTAATTTTGTATTTTTCAGTAGAGACACGTTTCTCCCTGTTGCTGAGGCTGGTCTCGAACTCCCGACCTCAGGTGATCCACTTGCCTTGGCCTCCCAAAGTGCTGGGATTACAGTCGTGAGCCACTGCTCCCGGCCTTCTGCTCTAGACTTTATTATTTCCTTACTTTTGCTAACATTGGGTTGAGTTCTTCTTTTTCCAGTTTCTTGAGGTGTAAAGCTAAGTTACTGATTTTAGATCTTTCTTCTTTTTTAAGGTAGGTAGTTAGATATATAAACTGTCCTCTTCATATTCATTTTGCTGCATCCCACAAGCTTTGGAATGTTGTGTTTCCATTTTTATTTGTCTCAAGACATTTTCTAACTTTCCTTGTGACTTATTCTTTGACTATGTATTAATCAGAGTTCTCCAGAGGGTCAGATCCAATAGGAAATATAGATATAGATATAGATATAGATAATAGATATAGATATAGATACATATACATGCATCTAAAAGAGAATATATTTACATATATATGAAATATAATTTATTAAGGAGAATTGGCCCACATAATTACAAAGGCAAAGTCCCACAGTAGGCCATCTATAAGCTGGAAAATGAGAGAAGCCTACAGCATGGCTCCCAAGGAAGCCAGTGACATGGCTCAGTCCAAATCTGAAAGTCTCAAAACCAGGGAAGCTGACAGTGCAGCCACTAGTCTGAGGCCCAAGGCTTGAGAGCTCCCAAAAGGCTGCTGATGCAAGTCCCAGGGTCCAAAGGCCAAAGAACCTAGAGTTTGATGTGCAAGGGCAAGAGGAGAAAAAGGCATACTGCTCTGGAAGAGAGAGAAAGTGCATAAAAAAGAAATCCAAGCAAGCTGAATGTTCCCATTCTTCTGCCTTTTTGTTCTAGTCACACTTGTAACCAATTGCATGATGCCTACCCACAGTGAGGATGGGTTTTTCTCTCTCAGTCCAGTAACTCATCCATCATTCTCCTGTGGCCGCACCCTCACAGATATACACACACACAGTGCTTCATCAGGCATCTAAGCATCCCTCAATCAAACTGACAATTAATATTAACCACACAGGCCAATTGGTTAAGAGAGTATATTTTTGTAATTTCCACATATTTATTACTTTTCCTTTTTCCTTCTGCTATGAATTTGTAATTTCATTTAATGTGGTCAGAAAAGATATTTGGTATGAGTTCAGTTTTCTTAAAGTTTTAAAAACTTGCTTGTGGACCAGCATGCCATCTATCCTGGAAACGTCTTGATATGTACTTGAGAAGAAAGTATATTTTGCTATTATTGGGTGAAGTGTTCTGTATATGTCAGACAGGTCCAATTGGTCTACAATGTTGTTCAAGTTCTGTGTTTTCCAGTTGATCTTCTGTCTGGTTATTGTATCCATAATTGAAAGTGGAATATTGAAGTTTTCTGTTATTATGATGTTGTTATCTATGTTACCCCTCAATTCTGTCTATGTTAGCTTCATATATTTAGATGCTGTACTGTTAGTTGCACATACATTTATATTTGCTATATCTTCTTGGTCAATTGGCCCTTTTATTATTATGTAATATCCTTGTCTCTTGTGCTATTATTTGACTTAAACTCTATTTTGTCTAAGTATGGCCATCCTTGTTCTCTTTTGGTTACCAAATGCATTGAATATCTTTTTCCATCCTTTCACTTTCAACCTTTGTGTGTGTTTAGATCTAACATAAGTCTCTTGCATATAGTATATATTTAGATTTTTTAATCCATTCAGCCAATTCTCTGTCTTTTGATTGGAAAATTAGCCTATTTGCATTTAAAGTAGTTACTGATAGGGAGGGGCTTACTATTGTCATTTTGTTCATTGTTTTATACATGTCTTCCAGGTATTTTTTCCACTTTTCCTCTCTTTCTGCCTCCCTTTATGTTTCACTGATTTCTTTTTTTGGTAGGGACGTGCTTTGGTTCCTTTCTCATTTTTATTTTTGTATCTTCTGTAGGTCTTTTCTTTGTGGTTACTGTAGAATTACATGAAAACATCTTATAGTTATAATAATCTATTTTAAATTGACAACAACTTAACTTTAATCACATACAAAAACTCTACTTCTTTACACCTCCTTCTCACTTGTTATCAATGTCACACAATATATATCTTATATTGTTTATTCACATAATTTAATACAGTAATATTATGCTTTTACCTTTTAAATTCTAAGCTTCAATTAAAAGTGAATTACAGGCTGGGTGTGGTGTCTCACACCTGTAGTCCCAGCACTTTGAGAGGCCAAAATGGGAGGATCACTTGAGCCTAGGAGTTTGAGACCAGCAAGGCCTTATCTCTGCTAAAAATTTAAAAATATTATCTGAGTGTGGTGGTGCATGTCTGTAGTCCCAGCCACTCGGGAGGCTGAGGTGGGAGGATTGCTTTAGCCCAGGACTGCAAGGCTGCAGTGAGCCATGATCAAACCACTGCACTCCAGCCTGGGCAACAGAGCAAGACTTCGTCTCAAAAAAAAAAAAAAAAGTAAAGGACAAAAAGTGTTTTGCTTACCACCATTAGAGTATTAAAGGATTCTATGTTCACTCATATATTTACCTTTACCAAAGAAGTTTATATTTTGTATGCTTTTGTATTTCTATCCAATGCCTTTTCATTTCCACTTGGAGGACTCCCTTTAACATTTTTTGTAAGGTAGGTCTAGTGGTGATCAACTCCCTCACCTTTTACTTCTCTGGGGAACTCTTTGTTTGTCCTTCATTTTTGAAGTAGAGTTTTACTGGCTATACAGTTCTTGGTTGACAGTTTTTTTTTTCTTTCAGCCCTTTTAATATATCATCCCATTCTCTTCTGACCTGTAGAGTTTTTGCTGATAATTCCATTGATAACCATATAGCATCTCCCTTGTATGTGACAAGTTGCTTTGATCCTGTTCCTTTCAAAATTCTCTCTTTGTCTTTAACTTTTGACAGTTTGATTGTAATGTGTCTCATTGTAGGTCTTTTGCAAATTATCCAACTTGGAGTTCTTTGAGCCTCTTGGATTTGTATGTCCATTTCCTTCTTTAAGTTTGAGAAGTTTTTGGTTATTATTTTTTTAACTGGCTCTCTGCCCCTTTATTTTTCTCTTCTCCTTCTGGCACTTTCATAATGCATACATTGGTCTGCTTGATGGCATCCTGTAAGTCTCTTAGGCTGTCTTCACTCTTCACTCCTTTTCCCTTTTGCTCCTCTGACTCCATAATTTCAAATGACTAGTCTTCCGTTTCACTGATTCTTTCTTCTGCTTGATGTTATTGAAACTGCCTTTGCAAAAATTATAACTGAAGAAATTATGACAGCAAAAGACATCAGACTTAATCAACTCCATCTTGCTTCTAGCATTTAAACTGTCCTTGTTCATTCCCGGCAGTAGGATGAACTAATTTCGGGAAGGTATTCAGTTCATGGTTTGACTCTGAAACAAAGTTGATAATAGCCATTTCCCAAAAAGATCCCCTTCTTGCCTGGAACCAGTCTGCCTTTGCAGGATAAACAAATTAGCTATAACATCAGAAATTACAGTTGAGGGGTTATGCAGCCTCTGGCTCCAAGAGTCTGAACCTCTCCAAATTGCTCCTGGGGATAACATCACTATTGTAAAACCTAAAATCAGTGCTTGAGATATTTTGCAGACCCTGCACTGGATGAATCAGCTGACACCACCCAGACTGGTAATATGGCTCAACTAGTTCTGCCACCCCAGCCACAAACAGAAGACAGCAAGAAAACATCTCTTCAACCCTGTATGATTTCATCTCCAACCTGATGAATAAGCAGTCCCCACTTCCCAAGTCCCTACATGCCAAATTATCTTTAAAAGTTCTGAACCCCGAATGCTCAGGGAGACTGATTTGAGTAATAATAAAACTCTGATCTCCCGCACAGCCAGCTCTGCCTGAATTACTCTTTCTCCATTGCAATTCCCCTATCTTGATAAATCAGCTCTGTCTAAGCAGGGCACGAGGTGAACCCATTGGGCAGTTACACAGTCTATTGGTGATTTCCGATAGGGAATTTTTCAATTGAGCTACTGTATTCCTTAGCTCCAGAGTTTCTGTATGGTTCCTTTTTTTTTTAGTTTCTATCTCCATTAATATATTCATTTTATTCATGAATTATTTCCTGCTTTCACTTAGTTGTCTATTTCTGTTGTCACTGGGCTTCATTAAGAGAGTTAATTTGGATTCTTTGTCAGGTAACTCATTTATCTATTTCTTTAGGGTTGGTTTCTGGAGATTTATTTTGCTCCTTTAATTTAGTCATCAGGTTTCTCTGTTTCTTCTTATGTCTTGTTATTTTTTATTTTTTATTTATTTTTGCCAAGATTTGGGTGTTTGAAAAAACTGCCACTTCTCCCAGTTTTTATCAGCTGGCTTCATACGGAAGACCTTCATACCTGAATCAGCATGGCTATAGGTTCCAGCAGCCTCTCAAACTTTTTCTGGGAATGCATCTTCTTTGGGTTTATACATTGCAACATCCCAAGTAGAGGTTTGCCAGTTTCTTTTTCTGGAGCTGTTGTTCCCTCTGGTATCTGTCTGTGGTACTGCAGGTTCCCTGGTGCTGCATCATCTCTGACCTCTCCTTTATTCCCAGTGGTTCCCATGCATCCAAAGTATGCCAGTTGGGCGTCAAGTTAGAGAGAGAGAGAGAGCTTCAGGTAACCTCATAAAACTATTCCGTTCCAGTCTTCTCTTTCCCTGCTAACGGAGAAGCTGCAAGTTGAGTGCTTCCCAGCCAAACCAACCTGTTCGAGCTTGGGGAAGGGGTATCATGAGTATAATGCAACAGCTTTTCTTATTTGTTCAATGCCACTATTCTTGATTTTGCACTTGTCTGTGCTACTACAACTTCTTAATGGTTTATGGAACTCCATAAAGGCTTTTAGACCATATATTGTTTTTCAGTTGCTATCTTTATGGAGAATCAAGGTTTGGAGCCATTCCACCATCTGGCTGACATCACTCTGTTTATATTATTTTTTATTTTTATTATATTTTATTTCCTTGAGACAGGATCTTGCTCTGTCAGCCAGGCTAGAGTGCAGCCTGGAACTCCTGAGCTCAAGGGACCTCCTCTCTCAGGCTACTGAGTACTTGGACTATAGGTACACAACACATACCCGGCTAATTTCTTATTTTCTTGTGAAGATGGGGTTTCACTCTGTTGCCCAAGTTACTCTCAAATCTTGGGCTCAAGCAATCCTTCTGCCTTGGCCTCCCAAAGTGCTAGGATTAAAGGTGTGAGCCCACCATGCGCTGCCTGTTATATTTAGTAGAAAATATATCTAAAAATATACTTATGTACTATATTGAATCCACTACCCAGAGCTTAACTGAACTATTTTTGTGACTCATTCTGTTTTTTTTTATTTTTTGCTTTTTACTTATTACAATGAACTACAAGTATGGATATATTAATATTAATTAATATAAAATATACTGGAATCTTTTGTATTTTTTTTTCCTTTTTTCTTCACCAAAAGCAGAAACTTAAATACACTGAAATCTTAAATGACCCTTGAATGTTTCTGGGACTGACCCTGGAACAAAATTTTTTATGTTGTTATTACATTGTTCTTTTCATGTTAAAATCATTTGTTTCTTTTTCATATAGTACATCAAAGAAGAATTGTTAATATAGCCCTTACCAGCCATATGCTAAGTGCCACAAGTGTTTTGGTCTCTCTCCATTCTTGTACCTCACTTGGTCTTTTTTTTTCTTTTGGAGGTGTAGCCTCCATCTTTCACCCAGGCTGGAGTGTGGTGGCATGATCTCAGCTCACTGCAACCTCTGCCTCCCAGGTTCAAGTGATTCTCCTCCCTCAGCCTCCTGAGTACCTGGGACTACAGTTGTGTGCCACCATGCCCACAAAATTTTTGTATTTTTATTAGGGATGGGGCTTCATTATGTTGGCCATGCTGGTCTTGAACTCCTGACCTCAAGTAATCCACCCTCCTCAACCTCCCAAAGTGCTGGGATTACAGACATGAGCCACTGCGCCTGGACTACCCCACTCTGTCTTTTAAATTGGCTATGTAAGGGGAGCATCTTGTGCTTGTTAAGTCTTTGTTTTCTGGCCTATTTATATAATGGACATTTCTGAGTTGTGTGTATATATTAAATTATTTGAGAGTATATATTTAATGTACTAAATAGATCTACGTGTTTTCATACATGTCACTATAAAAAGACCATTTGCATATATTTGTTCTATAAAATGCTTACTTTTCTTCATGAGCCACCTAGATTTGCTTTTCTGATGTGTAGTGTATGTGAAAATATTTCTTTGTGAATTTTTCTTTATTGTGTGCCCCTACAGGTGGTAAGCTTAATAACGCCATAGCCTCTATAAGGAACGTATGTATTAGTCGGCTGGCAGGAATTGTTTTGGGATTTTTTGTTTGATATTTTCCAAGTGAAGACCAGTTAAATACAAAATCTATTTTATAGAAGTATAGTATTAGACATTTTTTTCAAAATATTAAACTTTGGTAAGATCCATGAAATTTAATACTTAACTCTATTTTTCTAAAACTAGCCTCCAATGCCTACTCTGTATTTAAAACTGAGCACAGCGGTGATTGATACAGGTCAATGGCTTTGATTAAAGTCTCTGCTTCCTGATTTTGCAAATAAGGAATGTCAAAAACTATACTTAATGCAGAGTATCCCTCTGAATTATACTTTCCCTTTCTCTACTAAATTGCCTATTGATGTTTGATAATTTTCCCCAAATTTTCCCTTAAACATTTTAGGGGGAGATAGGTTCCCATTCATTTCTGCATATTTTCTGACTGAAATTCACTCCTGCTATCCTTTGACAAAGGCAACACTCAAACTTAGCCATTTCCTGCCTTAAAGGAAAACATGCCATTACTTTTGTATTTCTGTAATTTCCATCCAAATTTAGCTGTAACATATTGACCAAAGAGATATTCAAATATTTTTTAAGAATTCATTGGACATGTTATATGAAACTGGAGATTTTATGGGTCTCTTTTCTTCTTCACTTAAAGTAATACTTTAACTATTTTACTGATACTAGTATCAGAGATGTGGCAGAAGAAGAAACGTTACTAATTGGAAATTTTGTTACTTGGTAGTAAGTCTGCTAAAATGTATGGTGAGAAAGAAAATCAAAATTTTAGACATTTAATATAACATTTAAAGACATAATATCAAAGGGTCAAACATATGTAATAGATAATGTCAAATCTTGTATTATATATTTAATATAAACTAATTTCTAAATATCTATCTAATTCTAGAAAAAACTTACATTGAAGAGAGGATTCCTTGTTTTGACTACGTGTGTTTCTGCTGTCTTAGGCAGCCAACGTATTGGTTTACATGGATCTGGAGGATTATGCACATTAGTGTTGAGTTTCATTGCAGGGACAAAATGGTCCCAAGAAAAGGTGAATATTTTTAATATGCTATATTTTAAAAGCTAAGACAACCGAATTTTTTACATATATTTAGGAAATCCCCTCATTCTGGTTGGAAAATATTCCAAAAGGTTTTCTATCCTCAAGAAAGAGTACGAATCAATCGAGGAAATAAAATATTTAATAAAAGCAGCTGGAAATATACTAATATGGAATCAGAAGTTGAGTTAATCACATCAGGCTTCTCTTTTTCCCAAGTTTTATATAATATTATTATATTACTTATATCAATTTAATTATTTTATTCATTGAAATTTTAATTATGCAATTAATCCATGAAGAATGTTTGTAAAAGGCCAGGCACGGTGGCTCATGCCTGTAATCCCAGAAATTTGGGAGGTTGAGGTGGACAGATCACCTGGGGTCAGGAGTTTGAGACCAGCGTGGCCAACATGGTGAAACCCCATCTCTACTAAAAATACAAAAATTAGCTGGGCATGGTGGCTTGGTGGTGGGCACCTGTAATTCCAGCTACTGAGGAGGCTGAGGCAGGAGAATTGCTTGAACCCAGGAGGTGGAGGCTGCAGTGAGCCGAGATCATGCCATTGCACTCCAGCCTGGGCAACAAGTGCAAAACTCCATCACACACACAAAAAATAATAATAAACAAACAAATAAATAATAAAAAGAGAAATGCTTGTAAAATAATAAAACATAGAAAAAATGTAAAAGATTTCTTTATTCCCCACCACTGTCAAATATCTAACCGCCTTACATTTTTTTAAGTAACCAGTGTCCTATTTATAGACATTAAGATAGTTTCCACTTTTTGTTATTTACAAACAGTGCTGTCATAAACAGTGTTGTTCATGTCTTTTTTTTTTTTTTTTTTTGAGACACAGTTTCACTCTTGTCACCCAGGCTGGAGTTCAGTAGCATAATCTTGGCTCACTGCAACCTCCACCTCCTGGATTCAAGTGATTTTTCTATTTCAGCCTCCCTAGTAGCTGGGATTACAGGCACGCACCACCATGCCCAGCAAATTTTTGTATTTTTAGTAGAGACGGGGTTTCACCATTTTGGCCAGGCAGGTCTTGAACTCCTGACCTCAGGTGATACTCCTGCCTCGGCCTCCCAAAGTTTTGGGATTACAGGTACATCTGTAGGAATAGAGTTCTAGAAATGATTTTTTTTTTGAGACAGAGTCTCTGTCTATGTTGCCCAGGCTGGTCTCAAAATCCTGAGCTCAAGGGATGCTCCCAAATTGACATTGCAAAGTGCTAGGATTACAAGCATGAGCTACCACACCTCGCTGGAAATGATCTGTGTTTTATTTTGATGGACACTGCTAAATTATCCCTTCAAAAATTTTGGTTATTTACACTCTGCCAACAGTGCACAAAAATATCTAATACCTTAACTCATCAACAGCACTTGATATTATCACTAGTTCTATTCTTTTTACTATTAAATGACCTCATCATCCAATTCTTATAGTTTCTTACAATTATGTGATGTTGTTATTCTTTATTTACATTTCTCCGATTAGTAGTATAGTAAGCTTCTCTTCATATATTCTTTTTAAAATACCTATGATCTTCTTTGACCATTTTTATTGGGTTATTTATTTCTTGTTTCTAATTTATAGTTTCTCTTAGTGTTAGGGCTACTGATCCTTTGTTATGTATATATTGCATATAATTTTTGCTTATCTTCAACTTTGTTTACGGTGTCTGGTGTATGAAAGTAAAATTTCCTATGACCAAACCTATTGGGTTTTCCTTTTTTGGTTTTGGATTCTGCATCTCATTTAAGAAGGACTTTCTCACTGAAGATTATAACATATAAACATTACAAAGATATACTATTTTGTGTATTATCATTTAATATTTTGGTAGTTTTTGTTTAATTTGTTTTTTCATTTAGGCTTTTAATCTATCTGGAATTTATCTTTGTGAATGCTGTGAGGTAAGGTTATATATATATATATATGTGTATCTTACAAACTATGTATATATACACACACACATATACAGTTTGTAAGTTAACTGAACAGAGATAGAACTACATCATGGCTGATGTGTGTGTGTATATATATATATGTATATATATATACACACACACATATATATATATTCAGACACACATATATAATTGCATGTGATGAATATGTACATACAGATATATGCACATAAACTAGACAGTCATTTTTTGCCAAATTGTTTATTTATTGACCAATTCATTAATAATTCAGTTTTTTAACATGAACTAAATTCTCCCATATATATTAATTGTGGTCTGTTTAATCCTACTTCTCTATTTCTATGCCAACACCTCTGTTTTAAATCACTGCAGTTTTATGTGTCAAAATCTAATATAGATTATACTTCTTTTTAAAGTATTTTTTGGCTGCTCCTACACATATTCTTCCTTAGATAAATTTTAGAATCAACTTGAGAAGTTCCCTAATCAAAAATCATAGTGGCATTTTGCTTAGTATTCTTGTATAATCATAATTATAAAAGAAATGAAATGAATGAAATGCAAATCAATAAATAAAATTGAAACTGCTAGAATTTTTTTAAATGGTAAAAGAAACAGAACCAAAACAAGTTTTAAAGATTTAAAGTAACGAACAGGATAATTATGCTGTAAAGAGTGGTAACATCTTTTTTCTTTGTTTTTCTTTTTTTAAACTATAAAAAGTGGGGATCAGAAAACACAGTCATAAGGGAAATAGTTGTGAAGATAGTTTTTGCCTCAAGGAAGAGACATCAAAGTACTTATGTATCTTCTGTTTAAAGAAAAAAATTAAACCCAGACTGAGACTGAAATCTCTTCATCCAAATTCCTGGAGAAGAGCCAGAGTAATGTAGGCCAATAGGGGCCTTTCCTGTAACCTTTTAATTGGGGAAGTAGCACTGGGAGGCATTCGTTTCCAGAAGGGGAAGCTGGGTAGGCAGCTAAATGAGAATCTAATATATGTTTTGGTTTTGTTTTAAGGAAAAAGTAACTTTAAAGTATTCAACATGGGTTCTTTGGAAGCAGGCCTAGCAGACTTCCAAATTGTTTTTCCTAGTAGTATATGCTATATATATCAGGATTCACTTTAATGGCATTGAGTTCCAGGATGGTTGTTAGTGGAAGGCTTCCCAACCCCCTTCTGAGAACCCAAATGTTTGCATGAACTGGGTATGTTCTCATCAGGCATGATGTAGTTCTATCTCTATTCAGTTAACTTAGAGACAAAATCTGGAACTCATATGAAACATGGCTAGAACCCTAAAGACATCACTTATTCTGTGACAAAATGGCCAAATAGTATTATTTTATTGCTTTGTGAGTTTCTTTTAATCAAATTCTACCTAAGTGTTTGAGTAAAACTATTGAAGTGCTCAGTTTTTATTAAGTTTAATATTTTTATTAAAATAAAGTGTCTTAAATTTATTAAATGTTAAGTGACTTTAGGCCAGGCATGGTGGCTCATGTCTATAATGCCAGTGCTTTGGGAGGCCACAGCCAGAGACCACTTGAAGACAGGAGTTCTAGACCATCCTGGGCAATATAGCGAGACCCCATCTCTATAAACAATTTAAAAATTAGCCCACCATGGTGGTACACACCTGTCGTTCTACTTGGGAGACTGCGAGAGGATCACTTGAGCCCAGGAGTTCAAGGCTACAGTGAGCTAAGATTATGCCACTACACCCCAGCCTGGGCAACAGAGCAAGACCCCATCTCTAAAATACTTAAAAAGTGAAAAAAAAAGGTGAGGGAGACTTTAACTTTCTGAAATATATTTATGTGCCAAAATAATTATAAATGTATTTCTCTTTTCTATAGATGAAAGTCCAAAAGATTATTACAAATGTATGGGATATTTTTCAACCACTTCTTTTTGGTTTAGTTGGAGCAGAAGTATCTGTTTCATCGCTTGAATCAAATATTGTTGGTAAGAATAATTAGAGCACAAAAAATATGAAATTCAAAAATATTTAAGAAAATTATAAATACATTTATTTTTATTTACAATATATCTTTGAATGGCTACAAGGACCTTCTTCAGAAACACATGTTGATACAGTGTCATATTTTCATATTGCTCTTCCTTTACACTGTGTGCTCTTTTTTTTTAAACCAAGGACAGCCCTGAATATCTTCCCTGAGTTATCTAAGGAAATAAATATAAGATTTCTTTCCTGAGGGAACGTATTTGATACGATCAGCACTGTTTGAGTACTTTCATTAAAACTATTGGCTGGGTGTTGTGGCTCATGCCTGTAATTTTAGCACTTTGGGAGGCCGAAGCGGGCAGATTTCTTGAAGTTAGGAGTTCAAGACCTGCCTGGCTAACATGGGGAAACCCATCTCTCCTAGAAATACAAAAATTAGCCAGGTGTGGTAGTGCGTGCCTGTAACCCCAGCTACTCAGGAGGCTGAGGCAGGAGAATCACGTGAACCCGGGAGTCGGAAGTTGCAGTGAGCTGAGATTGTACCACTGCACTCCAGCCTGGGCGACAGAGCAAGAATCCTTCTCAAAAAGTAAACTATTATTAATAATAATAAAAGTATTCAAAAAAAGTCTATTAGTTCAGAATTGTATAAATGTCATGTGTCTTATTTTTCATGGTATCTCCACCATCAGATACTGTCTTGCACTTTACAGAGAATCCTCCATCATATTCATTTTTTATTATGATTGTTTTATGTAAAAATTAAACACATGAAGAGACAGTAGCCTTAAAATGCTTTCAAAAGTTTTAAAAATCATATTCCTGGGCATAAAGAACACTTCTTCACAAATATTTTGTTATTTATGTTTTCATCTGCTGTAAGCATATCTGTTGCCACTCTGAGTTTGGCATTATGTGTTCGAATTTTAACCACATATCTATTGATGTGCTTTGCTGGTTTTAGTTTTAAGGAGAAAATATTTATTGCTTTAGCATGGATGCCCAAAGCTACAGTACAGGTAAGAACATATTAAGCCTATTGCTTAATGCTTTCGTTTTGATGCTTTTAAAATTTAAAATGAAAAATGTTACTCCAATCACAAAATATGAGCTATTATCCTTACTTTTTAAATGTTTGATTGATCATAACTATTCATTAAAATTAACGTAACCAGTCCCAGCTACTCAGGAGGCTGAGATGGGAGAATTGCTTGAACCTAGGAGGTGGAGGTTGCAGTAAGCTGGGATGGCACCACTGTACTCCAGTCTGGGTGACAGAGCAAGACTCAATCTCAAAAAAAAAATAAATAAATAAATAAAAACAAACAAAGAAACAATGTAACATTTTTCTATTTTCATTTTTATTTTCATTTTGAGACCAGGTCTCACTCTGTCACCCAAACTGGAGTGCAGTGGCATGATCACGGCTCACTGCAGCCTTAACCACCTGGGCTGAAACAATCCTCTCACATAAACCTGAGTAGCTAGGATCACAGTCACCTGCCACCACACCCAACTGCTTTTTTTCAGTTTTTTTTTTTTTTTTTTTTTTTGAGACAGTCTTACTCTGTTGCCCAGGCTGGAGTGCAGTGGCATGATCTCAGCTCAATGTAACCTCCACCTCCCAGGTTCAAGCGATTCTCCTGCCTCAGCCTCCTCAGTAGCTGGGATTACAGGTGCACACCACCACACCTAGCTAATTTTTGTATTTTTAGGAGATATGGGGTCTCACCATGTTGGCCAGGCTAGTCTCAAACTCCTGACCTCAAGTGATCTGCCTGCCTCAGCCTCCCAAAGTGCTGGGATTACAGGCATGAGCCACTGTGCCTGGCCTTTTCTTTCTGATTTTTTTGTAAAGAGGAGGTCTTGCTATGTTGCCCAGGCTGATCTTGAACTCCTAGGTTCAAGTGATCTTCCTGCCTTAGCCTCCTAAAGTTCTGGGATTACAGGCATAACCCACTGGGCACAGCCAACGTAACCTTTTGAAATCTCAGTTTTAAAAGCAATTATTTTGAAATCAAAAAGTATTCTTTCAATAAGTACTTTCTAAGTTTATGAAAATATGTTTTTTTCCTAAAATATATAATAAGAATATATCTGAAAATTGGAGTTTTTATATTTTGCTTAATATAACAAAGCTAAATGTTATGATTTTAAAAAGTAGAGACAAAGGCCAGGCATGGAGGCTCATGCCTGTAATCCTAGCACTTCAGGAGGCTGAGGCAGGCAGATCACTTGACCTCAGGAGTTCAAGAGCAGCCTGGGAAACATGGTAAAACCCCTGTCTCTACAAAAAATACAAAAAAATTAGTCAGGTGTGGTGGCACACACCTGTAGTCACAGCTACTTGGGGGCTGAGGCAGGAGGATTGCTTGAACTCGGGAGTTTGGGGCTGCAGTGAGCTGAGGTCATGCCACTTCACTGCAGCTTGGGTGACAAAGTGAGACCCTGTCACAAAAAAAAGTAAAGTAGAATAGAGACACATTGATTTTTTAAAAAATACTTTTCCTACCTTGCCACTCACTCCATCACACAAATGTGCATATATTTTTTTAATTACACATTTATTTGTATACTATTTGGTTAATGGCTAAATCCCTGCCCCTGCCCCCTTGATAAACTACGTAAGGACAGGGACAGTGTCTAGTTGTTGCAGTTGTTTTTCATTATTTCTCCCTGGCACTTAACACAGTGCCTGACATGCAGGAGACAAATACGTATTGCATGCCTGCAAGGATGAATGAACAGAAAGGGAAACCTTGTAATTTTGCCCTGTTATTCAAGGAGATTCTCCTCCTACTAAAATATATTGCTACTTCTTGTTAGACTGTTTAACTTGGCAGCATAATATACCTTAATTTCCTGTGGCTCTTTCTTAGTTGTTAGAAAAGCAGGCTCATAGGGCCAGACTACCTGTTTTGAATACCATGTTACTTGCCTATAACCTCAGGAAAATTATTTTCTAGTCTCTCAGTCCTTCAGTGTTCTCATCTTGCAATGAAGTCTATGAATGTATCTGTTTCTTAGCAGTGTTGTCAGGATTCAATGAGATAATCCACGTAAAGTGCTTAGCACTCTCTCTGGCATATGGTGGTGCTCAGTTAACAAACAATGTTGTTATTTTATCTTACCTTCAAGTAATATAAATAATAACTTTTTATTTTTAATGTCTACTGTAGGGAATAATAAATCTACAAAAGGAGTATCTGTTCTCTCTCCTTCCAACAATACTCTTGCAATTTTATTTCATTATTTCATAATTTTCATAAAGCAGGGAAAAAAGAAAAGCAGGTATGAGGAAAGAGACCACTCACTCTAGTCCTGCAGTATTATTCTGCTTCTGCCTATTCCTGTCTGCTGGCTCCAGGCTGGCTTCTACACAAAGAATATCAAGCCGGTCCCAGGAACTGGCAAGACATAAAAAATTAATTATTTATACAAGTAGAGTCACAACAACAATAATAGATAACAATAATGTCACAAGTAAATACGATCAACAAATATTTAAATTTCAATTTTAAATTATTTTCACCTTTATCCTCTTCCGCCATTCTCTGCTGCTAAAATAAAATTGGCTAAGGTTCAGCTTTCTCTTGTTCTTTAGTTTCGAGTTACTGATAAAAGTTAGACTGGAAAAATAGAAGCTATTAGGAGAGTAAATAAATAATTTAGTTTACAAATGTGAGATCAGCTTGGCAATTGGATGTTTTTAAAGAAAGAGTATTAAATCTCAGTCACTAGGAGGAAATCATTTATCATCTAATAAAAGTCCTCACATAATAAGGTTGTCATAAGGATTAAATGAATTGATAAATGGAAAGCTTTAAGAATGATACCTGACATATGATGAATGCCATAAAACTATAAAAATATTATTTCTAGTTTCACCATTATCGTCATCATCTCTTAAAAGTCAGTGGGTTTGGTTTTTGTTTTTGTTTTTTCTGTTGGCAGTTCTTTTATGTTCAAATCCTCTTCTAAACTGTGAGATTCTTTCAAGGTGGTTTCCTGCATGATTTTTTTTTCTCCCTAGCATCCTCCAGCACAATGGATCATGTTCAGTACATTAAAAGTTATGATATAAAAATAATACCATTTTAAATTATTGATTTAGGATGTAGAAATTGATCTTAAATTGAGGGGTTCTTTTGCCATAATGTTCCATATCAGAGGTAATGTTTCTACCATTATGTTGTTACTTTGCAACTCCATAGAAAATATGTTATATATTGGTATTTAATTCCCCCAAATTTTAAGGCAATTTCATGCCTTGTTATTAAACACAAGGAAAGAGACTTACAAGAAATTTGCTTTATGTTATTAAAAATAATGTGGTAGAAGGTAACTAGGGAAAAATCTTGTGACCCAGTAGTCATTCTAAAACAAAAACTTCAAGGAACTCATTCTCTGACCTGGCAGGGGATGAGGAGTGAAGGAGAAAGAAACTTACTACTATCTGAATACCTAATCTGTGCCAGGTATTCTTCACATTCTCATATTTAATTTTCACAACCGTCCAGTAAGATAAGTATTTTGTTCTTCGTTTTACACGTAAGTAAGTAGAAGTTTAGAGAGTGTGAGTCATTTGTACAAGGTCACTAGCCTGGTTGCAGCAAAAATAGAATTCAAACCCAGTTTGCTAGATTCCAAGCCTGCTGTCAGTTCTGCTATAACCCAGTGCCCCCTGAATAAGGAGAACAATGAGAAGAAGGGCAACAAATCCTAGAGAACCATAAGAAAACTTAATATTTTATTTTGTCTTCTTGTAGTCAAAAACTACTGGTACACGATAAAGGCAACTAAGCAAAACTGGTTTCGTTAGAACTCCTGGTGTTATGAGGGCAACACTCAAAAGAGATATTTGAATAGAGGAACACTGAGAGGACAAGAGTGCAAAATCAGCCCAAAAATGTTTGCATGTTGATTTGTCACTATTGTACTCTTCCTCCACATATATTTGCTAGGAAGAACATGGAACTGATGAGTAACTTATGATAATTACTGAGTACTTTTTTTTTCTAATAGTCTAGTACTAGATCTTGTTTATTTTAACAGAGCCATTTACATTATATATTAACTCAGTTTAATATTTTTCTTTATCCCCCATTTTTACCCCTAAATGTAGGCTGTGTTAGGTCCTCTGGCTCTAGAAACAGCAAGAGTCTCTGCACCCCACTTGGAACCATATGCGAAGGATGTGATGTCAGTAGCATTTTTAGCCATCTCGATCACAGCTCCAAATGGAGCTCTACTTATGGGCATTCTGGGGCCTAAAATGCTTACACGCCATTATGATCCAAGCAAAATAAAACTGCAATTGTCAACATTAGAACATCATTAAAAAGTTTACCTGTCATCATCTGCCTGCTTCTTTTAATGAATTATTTCACATGACAGAAGAATTTTAAAGTAGAAATATGTAGGGACTGTACAGAAAATCCAGGATTTAGTAAACATGTGATTTCAGTACAGGGCTTTTCTTGGACTTTTTACTCCAAAGTTAATTTAATAAAAATAATATTAAATGGAATGCTCTCTTGGTATTTACATACTGTAAGAACAAATTAAATCTGTAAATACCTTAGGAAAGTTTAAGTAATCCCTCAGGCTGAATTTGATATCATAATACAAACTGAGCTTAATATAAAATTAAACAAACTTAATGGCAGAAAGAAAAACTTTGAATATTGAACTTGGTAAGATAGCCTAAGTTTCCAAATAGGAGGAGTAGAACTCCCCATGATGTCCAGTAATTCAGTTAAAAAGATCACTACCAAAAAAAGGAGTAAAACACATCAACTTTAAATGGGTTAACTGAATAGATTTTAAATTCTGGTTTTGGTGACTACCTGAATAAATAATATGTTAAGTAATAGAACCAAGTTAGTCTTTCCTTATTTCTGCCATGCCCTTAAAATGAAAGTCTGGTTTAGCAGTTTTTAGATGAAACACTATCTATATATTTATTTATAGAAATAAAATTAAATCACAAATGGAAGTAAACTATATTTTTTTCAATTAGTGTTTTAAAATCTAGGCATAAAAGGCAGCCTCCAAAAATGAAAGATTTGGAGACTACTGTCATGTGGCAGTTTCTTCTCCTTAGTAATACAGAATTACCTTTTAATTCTGGCTGATTAAATCTGCCATGTTAATGTAGAACCCATCATAAGCAAAGTGAGTTTTAATTAACTTCAAGACTCTTTATTTTAAAGTTATAAGAGTCATATAAACACTTCTAAAATGGCCTTATTGAAAGGCATTTTAGAAATTGTTTGGACTTCTTTGGGAAAAGCTCAATGCAAGGACTGAATATTACTTTCATTCCTCTTTTTCCTCTTCTCCACAAGCAAGATATTAAAATACCACAGAATATGAAATTTACACATAAATTTGCCAAGTGAAGCAATTAAAATTTAAGGCAATCAAAACTATGTGTTATTCCTATTAAGACTAAGGGCTTTTATAGAATATATCACCGAAACTGCCAAAAGTTCTAAAACCGTCTGGGAAATAACTCTTAGAAAATACACTCTGGGAGAATAACTCTGGGAAAAGATAAAATAGCTACTGTTTTAGTGACATTTTCTCTTTATAGTTTTACAACAAAGTACAGACTCCATTTTCAAATATTGTAATTCTAGTACTCAAATTCTAAAAATTTAAACTGTGCCAGTGTTTTGACTACTATTTAAATCATGAGGACATCTCATTGTCACTTATAAAAAAATAAAAATATGGGCAGGCTGTTGTGGCTCATGCCTGTAATCCCAGCACTTTGGGAGGCCAATGCGGGCAGATCACGAGGTCAGGAGTTCGAGACCAACCTGACCAACATAGTGAAACCCCGTCTCTACTAAAAATACAAAAATTTGTCAGGTGTGGTAGCACGCACCTGTAATCCCAGCTACTTAGAAGGCTGAGGCAGGAGAATCGCTTGAACCCAGGAGGCAGAGGTTGCAGTGAGCTGAGATCGCACCACTGCACTCCAGCCTGGGAGACAGAGCAAGACTCTGTCTCAAAAAAAAATAATAATAAAATATATGTATATATATATATATTTACAAGATAGTATTTTACATTCACAAGAGGATTAGATTTCAAAGTAGAAAGTTTATTTTAATAAAAGAGAGATAAGAAATAATTTTCAAAATGAGGAATTGTGCTTTTGATTAGGAGGAAAATTGTTGTACCTATTCTTTTTATTCTTTATTTATTGAACTTTCTCTAAGTGTATGTGATATACGTTTATTATACTGAAATAGTCGCCATTTTAAGGTAGTGTGGCAGATGTTGTTATTTATTTGAAATTTTAAGTTTATTTATAAAATGTTTTCATAAAAATTTATTAATATAATTTAAAAATTACAACCAGTTAACCATGTGTATGATATTAGTGTTTATAGTATTTAAACAAATAAGGCTGGGCACAGTGGCTCACACCATCCCAGCACTTTGGGAGGATAAGGCGGGTGGATCAGGAGGTCAGGAGAAGGAGAGCATCCTGGCTAACATGGTGAAACCCTGTCTTTACTAAAAATACAAAAAACTAGCCAGGCATGGTGGCAGGTGCCTGTAGTCCCGGCTACTCAGGAGGCTGAGGCAGGAGAATCACTTGAACCTGGGAGGCAGAGGTTGCAGTGAGCCAAGATCACGCCACTGCACTCCAGCCTGGGTGACAGAGCGAGACTCCATCTCAAAAAATTAAATAAAATAAAATAAAATAAAATAACAAACAAATACAAGATTGTTGTTTCTTATAAACTTTTTTTTGTATCTTTGCCTATTTTTTTTCACTGTTTAAGGAATTTTTATTAAAGCAAAATTTTATAATCCAAATTACCTTTCCTTGCTCAGTTATCAATTCTGTTACTTAAAACAGAAGTGACATTCTTAGCTATTCCACACTAATGAATTACAAAATTAAAGGAATGTTTTAAATTTTTATACTTTTCTGAAAATTATTTATCACAGAGTCTGAAAAGCATTACAGTGTTTTTATATTTTATTATTTTGGGAGGAATTTTTCTTTTCAAATCAATAAGTAATCTAAGACTATCATTGCATTTGTTAGATCTGACATTTGCTTGGTATGTAAAGTTCAAAGTTTCCTTTTTAAATTTATTTTATACTTTACAATTTTTTTCCATAATATTTAAGGTTTTCGATATTGAGATATTTTTCTTCAGTGATGCTCAAGTTTCTTTCTGTGGTCCCTGATCAGTTTTAAACAATTGGAACACCAGTGGCACCATTAACTGCTTTCTGGGCAGCCTCTTTAGCTTGGTGCTCTTGTAGTACAGCTATACCTTTGTCAACCTTAGTATAGAGAGGATCTGGAGATTCAAGCATATGAAGGAGTTCTAAATTACCAATCTCCACCAACATGCCAATGATTTTACCAGCACGACTAGGGCGTGGCTTGAAGAAGAGGAAACAGCCATTCACTCGTTTCCTTTTGCTTTTGAGGAGGAGAAGATGCCATCATGGAAGTCAAAGGTTCTTGACCTTCTACATGAACAGCAGGCTGCTGCATGGTAACCTGGGGCTGTGCATGAAAATATCATTGAGGATTGTGAGCTTCCATAGCATATTTATACTGTGAAATGGTACAAACAGCAGGAGTATCTGTAGTAGCAGTAGCGGCAACTGCAGGATGTGCTCCTATTGTCTGTGTCGATGTGTTACAACAGCTGTGTTGACATGACTCGTGGAAGCTGTGAAGAAGCTGGTCTCTTACTACTAAATGTAGTGAGCTAGGAGTGGCTTGGGCATATTTTTCAATGGATGAGGTCTGGCACCCTGAGCAATTTAGGGAGGATTTGAACTTAGTTGAGCAGTTTGGCTAGGAGAATACTTTGCAGCATGGCTCTCAGTCTGTGGGATAACTGCCATGAAGTCAATTGAAGAAGGTGCTGGCTGATAGGGACTGATTCCCAGGTTGAGCATAGTTTTTACACTTGCCATTCTTTGCACATAGTGTACTGGTTAATGAGCTGAGCCTGGTGCTCTTCATTGCTTTTCTTCCCATGGAGTTAACACTATATACAATGGCTCAGTGCCCACAATTCTACCATTCATTTCTGAAAGTGTTTTAGTTGCTTCCTCTGGAGAGGAGAAACATACACAAATCAAACCCTTTGTTGTGACAACCATCCTTCATAACCTTTGCATTGGTGATTGTACCAAGTGGAGAAAGTTCTTTCCAGAGACATTCATCAATACTATCAAGATTTTTTGCATAAATGTTAACACTTTGTTATCTGGTGATCCTATACTGCTTGATCTTTTCAAATTTGCACACAAGTTCCATCTGCAATTCTCCTTCTTTCTGAGCTTGACCAACATCAATTTGTTTTCCATTGAGCTTCTTTCTGTTCATCTCATCTGCGCATCTTTATGCCTTTCAAAGCTGACAAATCCAAAACCTTTGGGTTTTCCACTTTCATTAACCACTACTATCACACTTAAGACAGATCCCAACTTGCCAAAGAGATCTTTAAGGCACCTACCATCCATGTCTTCTCCAAAAATCTTCCTGTAAACATTGGTGAACTTTTTAACTCTGAGTTCTGCTTCTCATTGTTTACAAGACTTAATCCAACAAAGACTTTGCTATCATTTAGAAGCATCCATTTCATTTTTGAATAGATCTTTCAGCTGCTTCTGTGTCTCAAAATGTACAGTGCCATCACCCTTGAAACCGTTTTCACCACAAAGCACCTAATGTGAAAGTGATGAAGACAGGAGGCAGCCAAGGGTCCCCTGGTAAAACCTTACCTTCAAGACAAAAACAGCCTGAAGGCTGATAAACTGGACTGCAGGTCCTGGTTGAAGCCGCCCTTTCCTCACTGATTCTGAATAATGCCCACCTGCGCACTGGGATTACGGGGTGGAGCCTCGGGAAGTTTGTGCAGTGTGCAGTGGAGAGGAGTCTGGCCTTTTCCCATGTAGTGACCTAGGATTTAATCTATGAGGCGGGAAACCCGCTAGCAGGACTCTTTCTCTCTTTGCTAAGAGTTATTTTTCCTTTTTCCTTTCCACCCAATAAACTCCGTTCCCCCTCACCCTTCAAGTGTTTGCGTGCCTTTTCCTGGTAGTATGACAAGAACCTGGTTTTTTCTGCAACAAAAAGATGTTACCAAAAGCAGATGTATCATGCAATGCTTTATAATCAATAGATTTGTCCAATTTTTTTATGAACATGTTGCCCACTCCATTTTTGCGGAGTGATGGATCACACCGAGACTACTTAGTGTGTATTAGCTAGTCTTTTATAATATCAAAATTCATGGGGTCTTAAGGACATTCCACATCCTGCGTTTCCCAAGGAGCGCCGGTGATCTGGTTCCTGTAGCCCGTGATAGAGAGGACCAGCCAGCAGGCCTGGTCACGTGCGGTGCGAGGACAGGGGATGGCTGGGATGCTGGGCTCACCTCTGCACCTGTCTGCCGGTAGGGCCACCGGCTGCGACCTTTCCGTGAAAGGAGAGTAAGGGCTGGGGCGGAAGCCTGGGCCAGCGCAGAGAGACAAAATCACCTGGAATCTAAAACTACTCCATTCCCGAGGAACTGCGGCCTGCAGCGGGCTGGGACGAGGGTGGCGGTGTAGGGTCCAGCGTCCAGGCCTCGGGATCCTGTTCCTTCTTGAAGCTGCTTCGGAGCTGCGAGTGGGCGGGTGGGTCGCTCTCGGCTGCCTCACGGGCGATCTTATACAAGAAGAAAAGGAAAATGTCTCTGGCAGTGAAGACAAGGATTTTTTTGTAAAGTGTTTTGCAGGGGTGACGGGTGTTAAAACAGAAACCTTTTTTTTTTAAGTTTTTTTCATGGGATTTTTTTTGGGGGAATGGATTTTTCAAGATAATAAATATGTGCTGATCCTGGAGAACACACTCCACACTCTCGGCACTAACCGCTTGGGAGAAGGGACCCATTAATGTTTAATTGTACCTTCTCTTGTGGCCCCGTTTTTTCCCTTTTAATTATGAAACATTGGAGCCTACAGAAAGGTAGAAAAAATGGGCACCCACATAACCACCACCTAAATCCAATTAATTGTTAATATTTTGTCAAGTTTTCTTTATGTAATTTTTCGATTTGAATTAAAAGTAAATTATAGGCATCATGCTAATTTGCCTGTGTATACTTAAGCCTGCATATTCAAAAACTAAAGCCATTTTCTTACATAACCACAATTCCCTTATCCTTTCACACCAAGTTATCAGTAATTCCTTACAATTATTCAACTCCCAAATATTTTCAAATATAAACAGTCATGCCCCATGTAACACATTTCAGTCAACTAGTCGACCATCTACACTGTGGTGGTCTCATAAGATTAAACTGGAACATATATAGAAACTTGATAAACAGTATATGGCCCTTGATATTGGCATTGCAGCTCAAGTAGAGGAAATGACTGATGCTCAGTAGTGGTGCTGGAACATTTGATTTTCCTTATAAAAAATAAATAAGTGAAAATATATAGGGCCGGATGTAGTGGTTCATGCCTGTAATCCCAGCGCTTTGGGAGGCCAAGGTGGGCAGATCATCTGAGGTCAGGAGTCTGAGACCAGCCTGGCCAACATGGTGAAACCCCATCTCTACTGAAAATATAATTAGCCGTGTGCAGTGGCAGGTGCCTGTAATCCCAGCTACTCAGGAGGCTGAGGCACGAGAATTGCTTGAACCTGGGAGGCTGAGGTTGCAGTGAGCTGAGATCGCACCAGCACTCCAGCCTGGGTGACACAGTGAGACTCTGTCTCAAAAATATACGTATATATACCATCTAGGTTTGCATAATTACACCCTATGATTCACATTTTCTTAATTGTTTCCCAATTATAGCAATTTTTAAAAGCCAGGATCCAATCGAGAACTGGACACTACATTTTGTTTTTGTCTCTTATTTTGTAATCCAGTACATTTCTCCATACTTAATCCCTTGCTAAATGGCATAGACTTTTTTTTTTTTTTTTTTTGAGACGGAGTCTTGCTTTGTCACCGGGCTAGAGTGCAGTGGCGTGATCTTGGCTCACTGCAACCTCTGCCTCCTGGGTTCAAGAGATACTCTTGCCTCACCCTCCTTAGTAGCTGGGATTACAGGCGCCTGCCACCACGGCCAGATAATTTTTTGTATTTTTACTAGAGACAGGGTTTCACCACGTTAGCCAGGATGGTCTTGATCTCCTGACCTCATGATCCACCCTCCTCAGCCTCCCAAAGTGCTGGGATTACAGGTGCGAGCCACCGTGCCCAGCCGGTATTGACATTTTAAAGGAACCATGCTAGTTGTCACGTAGAATATCTCACATTCTGGAATTGTGGGACTGTTCATGGTTTCATTTAGTTTGTTTGTCTATCCCCTCAATTTTCTGAAATTTGAAGTTAAATTTAAAGACTTGGTTACATTCAGGTTAAACTTTTTTGGCCAGAATCATTCAAAGGTGATGTTGTATACTTCCAATAGTGGCACATTACGAAGTTTATGTCTGGTTGTCCCACTGCCAGTGATGTTAATTTTCATTCCTAAATTAAGTAGGTGATTGCCAGATGTCTATATCGTAATGGTATATTTTCCTCTGTAATTAGCCAGTGATCTCTGAGATTATACCTTGGTACTACATGAATATTTATTCTTCATCAAATTTCTCAAAATTAGTAGACTTTGTTTTTTAGAGCAATTTTAGGTTTACAGAAACCAATGAGCAGAAAGTACACAGAATTCCCATGTAACACTACCTTCCTATCCCACTCTCCACCCAATCCCTACCTCTGTACACAATTTCCCCTATTATTAACACCATGTATTAATGTGGTATATTGGTTACAATTGATACATATTGATACATTACTATAACTGAAGTCCATAGTTTACATTAGCGTTCACACTTTGTGTTGTAAAGTTCTGTGAATTTTGACAACTGTATAATGACAGATATCCACCAGTATCATATAGAATAGTTTCATCACCATAAAAATCCTCTGTGTTCCACCTATGTATCCCTCTCTTACTTTCTGCAAATTGCTGAAAACCACTGATGTTTCTACATGATAGTATTGCCTTTTCCAGATTGTCATACACTTAGAACCATACAATATATAGCCTTCTCATGCTGGCTTCTTTTACTTAGCAATATACATTTAAGTCTTCTCCATGTCTTTTCTTAGCTTAATATCTGATTTCTTTTTAGTGCTGTATAATATTCCCTTGTCTGGATGTACCACAGTTTGCATAGCCATTAACCTACTGAAGGATATCTTGGTTGCTTCCAAGTTTTGGCAGTTATGAATACAACTGTTATAAACAGCCGTGCACAGGTTTTTAAGGTTTTAACAAACTCTCCCTGGCAGTTTCTGTTTTTCCTCACTTTTCAAGCCCACGGACTATCTCCCAGTGCTGTTCGTTTTAATATTCTGCAGAGTACTTAAGCATTACAGAATATAGAAGCTGGAAGATACTTGGCAGTCTTTTAGTCCCTCATGTTCTAGATGAGAAAACTGAAGCCCAGATACCTTATTATTTGTGCAGTCCCCCAATCTGAGTGTCAAATCCACCTCTCCCAGATGTTTTCTGTTCAAATAACCCTGTGAACTTCAGTGACCCTCAGTGACCACATCATCATTATTCACCAATAGTTCTCCAACAGATCCGCTCTACATTAGCTCATTTCAAATGTTCTTTTCCTTTCACGCACATACCATACAGTACTTAAAATTTTGTTGACAACAATCAATATGAATTCAAACTAATTTCTTGCCCCAAGGATGTGACTTCTACTACACAGTTCCTTTTGGCCTGAGGGCAATTCCTAGGGCATGAACTTAGTCGTGTGCCCTCAACAGACAGCACTCTAAGGAAGCTGGGGAATGAGGGTCTCCATTCTGCAGGGAGGCCTGGACTACACAGCACAGAATACACTACTCTGTCCATCCCTCGTGTCATTTGGATCCATGACTTCATATAACCTCTCTTCATCTAGGATTAGCTCCTCCAGGATTTTGGTTGGTTTTTTTTGCGGGGAAACGTGAAAGTAACATTCATGGAGGGAACAATAGCTCCTTGGCTCTTCAACTGGTCTTTTATCAGTGATAAAAGTGATCATCTGCCTTTCCTACGATACAGGTACTATCAGGTTTACATTCTCACCCTCAGCTAGCACCTCCACTGGTCTAGGTCACTTACCTGGAGATAGGAGAGGAGGGTGTAGTAGCCATGGCTACTAGACTTGTCCTTTTAAATTGAGCAATCAAAATTTAGTAAGGGACTACTTAAACATCCCTTGGCTGCCAAACACATTCCTGTCTACTTCCGTTGTGTAACAGCATTGAATTGCAGAGATAAGAAGCAGAAATTTCCTAAGTGAATCCCTGGCGGTGACGGTAAATAGTGCTACTCTTTCTTCAATCCATGGTCCTCTTTCTATTAGCAACATGGGACCACATAATGGTTACTGATCTAGGATATATGCTTGTATCCCATCCCTGCAGCTTCAAAGGGCTACTGGAGGCTGTTCCATCACTCCATCAGTTTGACAGCTTCTAGCTGTTGTGATTTCGTGATTTGTAGTAGGATCACTGAATTGCATTTTCGTGTGTCCATCACTGCAACTACAGTGCTACAAAGTACATTCCCTTTATACAGTGCTATAAAGTACAATGCAAGGATGTGTAGGATTCCATATTGGAGGATTAAACATTCTGTCAACCCTTGGATAGTGGTGCTGGTTGAGGCCATGTAAGTAGGAAAGATAAATCCATACTCAGAATAAGTATCAGTTCCAGCCAAGAAGAATCATTACCCTTCCTGTGATGGAAAGAATCCAGTGCATTCAGCTTGCCACCAGGTGGCAACTTGGTGTCCTTGAGCGATGATGCTATCTTGAGGCCTCAGTGTTGCTCTGTCTTGATGACAACTTTGACATTCGGAAGCAGCAGTAGCTAGATAAGACTTAGTCAGTGGAGACTTCTGCTGTTTGGGCCTCTGCATAGCCTCCATCCTTGTCACTATATTTATTCACCAGTACTGAGCTGGCCAATGGAAGAGGTTGGCTAACATCATCTGGCTGAGTCACTTTTCTCCTTGGTTGTTGATAGATACCTCTTGTAGGTGTTAACATGTGAAACAAAGATCTTCATACTTTTTGTACATCCCCATAAGTCCACCCATATGTCCTTTTCTCAGATGTCTTTTTCTCCAGTCTTCCAAATTTTCTCCTTCCATCCCCCTGAACTGTAGCCAAGCCATTTGACCATGAGTCAGTACATTCTTACTATGAGTCTCTTCTCTTTCCATGCAAAGTGAATGACAAGGTGCATAGTGCAAAGTTCTGCCAACTGAAATTTTTTTTTTAATTTTTTTATTTTTTGAGACAGAGTCTTGCTCTGTCACCAGGTTGGAGTACAGTGGCGTGATCTCAGCTCACTATAAGCTCTGCCTCCTGGGTTCACACCATTCTCCTGCCTCAGCCTCCCGAGTAGCTGACACTACAGGTGTCCGCCACCACACCCAGCTAATTTTTTTTGTATTTTTTTAGTAGAGATGGGGTTTCACCATGTTAGCCAGAATGGTCTCGATCTCCTGACCTCATGATCCACTGCCTTGGCCTCCCAAAGTGCTGAGATTACAGGTGTGAGCCACTGTGCCTGGCCAAGAATTTATTTTTGAGTTGAATTTTTAAATATTAAAACTTTTTAAATATACAAACAAAAACTGTATATATTTGGAGTGTACAACCTGATGTTTTGAAATATGGATACATTGTGAAATGGCTAACTCAAGCTAATTAATACATGTGTTACCTCACATACTTATCATTTCTTTTGTGGTGAGAACACTTAAAATCTACTGTCCTAGCAATTTTCAAGTATGCAATACATTGTTATTAACTGTAGTCACCATGTTGTACAATAGGTCTCTTGAACTTGTTCTTCCTGCTTATCTTAATTTTTGTATCCTTTGACCGACATCTCCCCAGTTCTACCCTCCTCCCCCCGCCCCTAATAACCATTATTCTATTTTCTGCTTCTATGTGTTTGACTTTTTTAGTTTCCACATATAAGTGAGATTACATGGCATTTATCTCTCTGTGCCTGGCTTATTTCACTTAATATAATGTCCTCCAGTTTCATCCATGTTATTATAAAGGACATGATTTCCTTCTTTAAGGCTGAACAATATTTCATTATGTATATATACACCACATTTTCTTTAATCATTCATCTGTTTAAGGATACTTAGGTTTTTTTCATATCTTGTCTATTGTGAATAATGTTGCAATGAACATGAGGTACAGATTTTTCTTTGACATATTGAATCATTTTCTTTGGGTATATAAATAGTACTAGGATTGCTGGATCATATGGTAATTTTATTTTTAACTTTCTGAGAAACCTCTATATTATTTTTCATAATGGCTGTACTAATTTACATTCCCGCCAACAGTATACAAAGGCTCCCTTTTCTCCACATCCTCACCAACACATGCTATCTTTTGTCTTTTTCATGGTAGCCATTCTAAAAGGGATGTCTCATTGTGGTTTTGATTTGCATTTCCCTGATGACTGGTGATATTGGTTATTTTTTCATATTCCTGTTGGCCATTTGTATGTCTTCTTTGGAAAAATGTTTATTCAGGTACTTTGCCTCCCTTTCATTAATCAGGATATATGTTTTCATGCTATTGAATTGTATGAATACTTTATATATTCTGGATATTAATCCTTTATCAGATGTATGGTTTGCAAATATTTTCTCCCTTTTTGTAGGCTATCTATTTACTCTATTGATTGCTCCCTTTGCTTGCACAGCTTATTAGTTTGATATAATCCCGTTTGTCTATTTTTGCTTTTGTTGCCTGTGCTTTGGGGGTCATATCCAGAAAATCATTGCCCAGACCAGTCTCATGGAGCTTTTCCTGTATATTTTCTACTAGTAGTTTTATGGTTTCAGGTTTTATATTTAAGTCTTTAGTCCATTTGTGGTTTTTTTTTTTGTATATGGAGTGAGATAAGGGTCTAATTTCATTTCTCTGCATGTGGAGTTCTCCCAACACCATTTATTGAAAAGATTGTCCTTTTCTCATTGTGTATTCTTGGCATATTTACTGAAAATCAATTGGCCATAAACGTGGATGTATTTTGAGGCTCTCTATTCTATTCCATTGGTCTACCAGTCTGTTTGTATGCCAGTATCATGTTATATTTTTGATTACTATATCATCATAGTATGTTTTGAACCTGGATAATATGATACCTTCTACTTTGTTCTTTTTGCTCACAATTTGCTATTTGGAGTTTTTTGTGGTTTCACATGAATTTGGGACTTTTTTCTGTTTACGTAAAAAATATCATTGGAATTTTGATAGAGATTACATTGAATCTGTAGATCACTTTGGGTACTAAGAACATTTTAACAGTATGAATTCTTCTAATCCATGAAGATGGGATATATTTCCATTTATTTGTGTCTTCTTCAATTTCTTTCACCAATGTTTTATAGTTTTCAGTGTACAGGTCTTTCACCTCCTTGGTTAAATTAATTCCTAAGTATTTGTGTAGCCATTATAAATGAAATTGTTTTCTTAATTTCTTTTTCAGATAGTTCATTGTTAGTGTATACAGATGCTACTCGTTTTTTTATGTTGATTTTGCATCCTGCAACTTTACTGAATTAATTTACTAGTTCCAACAGTTTTTTTTGGTGGACTCTTTAGGGTTTTCTACATTTAAGATCATGTTGTCTGCAGAGACAATTTCTCTTCTTCCTTTCTGACTTTAATGCCTTTATTTCTTCTTCTTGACTAATTGCTAGAACTTGAATAGAAGTGGTGAAAATGGGCATCCATCTTGTTTCTGATCTTAGAGAAAAAGCTTTCAACTTTTTACCATTGAGTATGATGTTAGCTGTGGGCCTATCATATATGCCTTTATTGTGTTATGTGGACATTGATACCTAATTTGTTGAAAGTTTTTATTACAGAAAGATGTTGAATTTTGTCAAATGCTTTCTCTGCATCCATGGAGATATTCATATAGTTGTTGTCCTTCATTCTGTTAATGTGTATATCATATTTATTGATTCGTATATGCTGAACTGTCAATGGGAGGATTTAATCTACTGTTATCTTTCCATAGCTGAAGTAGGCTGCTATCATTTTTTACTTACATCCACATCCTGAGTTGATCTTCCAATGAACAAGCTTAGCTTTTTTCCTCCTTTAGCAATATTGGAACTCCCACATAGGCAGAGTTGCCAGCTGAGGGAGAGAATCTAGTGTCACAATCTGGATAATGTGGGGACCTGGATCACCTGATCATACTGCTTACTTGTGACCTCTAGTCTTTCTCATGCCCAATCCTTGATGTGATATGGTTTGGCTCTGTGTCCCCACAAAATCTCATCTCAAATTATAATCCCCACATGTAGATAGAGGGACCTGGTGGGAGGTGACTGGATCATGGGGGCAGTTTCCCTCATGCTGTTCTCATGATATTGAGTGAGTTCTCATGAGAGCGGATGGTTTAAAAGTGTTTGGCACATCCCCCCTTGCTCTCTGTCTCTCCTGCTGCCTTGTGAAGAAGGTGCCTGCTTCACCTTTGCCTTTAGTCATAAGTGTAAGTTTCCTGAGACCTCTCCAGCCATAAGGAACTGTGAGTCAATAAACCTCTTTTGTTTATTAATTACCCAGTCTTGGGTAGTTCTTTATAGCAATGTGAAAATGGACTAATTCAATGTGCTACTTCTATTTTATTATGATTTGTTGCTGGGCCAGCCTGTCCTTATGATCTGGTAGATCTAACAAAACCAAACTCACTGTGGGAACTTTTAGCTACATGGTCACTTAATATTTGTTGTCAGATAGTCCATCTCTACCTAGGTGCAGTAGCATGCTAGGAGCTATTAAAGTACACAATTATGCTATATATTTACACAATATACAATTACTGGCAGATAGCATGACCATGCTAGTGAACCCCACAAGACTATGTGTGAATCGTCTATTAGGGTTTGCTATAAACTCTACATGGTGCTTTTTCCAACTACATATATTTCTAATACCATAGAGCCTACTAGATTGTATGGCTCAAACAGTAGGGCTGCTTGCCCTGGATCCTGGACCTGCTGCAGAGGCCTTTTCTGCCCTAAGCTTTTGTCAAAGGTGGAAGCCTTCTGTGTCACTCAGCAAATGTGTCAGAACAGTATTCCTTAGTATAGGGGGGGAAAAATGGGCCCTCTAAAATCTTCTGTGACTGATGTCACAGATCCTTAAATCTTCAGATGATTTTCTCTCTCAGGGATGCTTGTGTCTCTCTAGGCCATCCAGCATGTTATTTCTTACCCAGTCTATTTTAACTGGTAAATAAAATGGAAAAATGTA